>NC_000007.14:150064440-150215955 GCF_000001405.40 Homo sapiens | reverse complement strand
TTTTACATTTTATTCTTTCTTGGGATGACAACTGTGTATATATTACACAATATACAGATTACATATTGTGGCCTACAAATGCATATAGCATTTACACCATTTGATAATTAGGATCAATATAACAGATTCCATGAGCACTTTTTCCAGCTTGTAAGATTCCTTTCCTAGCCATTTTTGCCAACAAGGAATCTAGCTCCACCAGGTCCGAAAAAACTCTCAATTCAGAAACATACTTAAAGAGTAATCGTTTTGTCTGAGGGTAGAGATCAAAAGTCTCTGCTTCCTATTTGTGAAGGTGGATATTTAACATTCTAGTTTTCGTTCTCATTCCACCTTTGTCTCCAAAGCCAAAAGGGATGAGTTATTAGTCCACGAACCTCAACGGATTCTTTGCAATGAAGAGTAGATGCAAAACTTTGGCTCTGTGGATTTCAATCTGAACTCAACTAGCGAAATCCCTTCAGGATCAAGGACTCACTTGGTGCCTCTCTGATGAATGCAGTGATTAATAATCGTAATATCTCCTGTTTACCCATTTGCGCTCCTAGAATGTGGCAAGAAGTCAATCCTTATTCATCATTTGGCACCATTTTCTGGTGAGGAACATCGTATTCTACCAATGAATTAGTAAAATGTTGGTGTTTCTTCTCAAGGTTTTCATGCTGTGAAAAAGCTGATGAAGCGTTTGCATTTTGAAGTTGCTTATGATCCATGAAGAGTGTCAGCCTCTACCCACAGGAGTTTGCTGACTTTTGCCAGCTCTAGGTATTATACTTTGTGGAAATTTAATAGCCTTCTTACCTTCTATTTCTAGTGTTTATTTTACCACAAGGACAGGGATAGCAAAGCTTGTATGTCTGTCATTTTCCTTTTAGGACATTAAAAAAAAGGATTAATCAGCTAAAACAATTTTGATTCAATAGAAATGCATTTTTTTTGTGTGTTTGAAATACTACTCATGAATCCCACCTACATTTTTACTTTGATTTCATCCTTAAAGGATGTATTTTCCTGGATGTAAAATTCTGAGTTGACAGGATTTTTACTTCTTTTTCAGCACTTTAAAGATGGCATTCCACTGAGTTCTAGAATGAGTTTTTTCTACTGAGAAGTGAAGTCATTTGATTCATAGTTCCCTGTATGTACTGTATTATTTTTCTTTGTCTGCATTTAAGATTTTTCTTTGGTTTTCAATATTTCAATACTATGTGCCTAGGCATGATTTTCTTCATATTTATTACCGTAGTGGGTGCAAAGATCACCTTGAATCTTTAAATGCACCATCTTTCGGAATTTGGTGGCCATTATCTTGTCAAACTTTTTTTCGGTCCTATTCTTAATTTGTTGAGATGACAATTATGTATGTTTTATACAGCTTATATTGCTTTACAGGTCTCTGAGGCTCATCATTTTTCCAAGATACTTTTCTCTCTCTTTTTCAGGTTTAATTTCTGTGGTTCCATCTTCACATTTAATGAGTCTCTCCTCTGTGTTCTGCATTCTGTGGTTTGTGTGCGTAGCTCCGGATATTGCATTTTCAAATTCTAAAATGTCCACTTAGTTCTTTCTCCATAATTTCTATTTTCTGCTTGGATTTTTTTTTAATTCATCATGAGTATCTTTGCTGTTTAATAAATGAGGAGTCTTCTTATAATACTCACTTTAAAACTCTTGTATGATAATTCTAACATCTGAGCCTTCTTAGAATTGGTCTGTGTTGACTGTATTTTCTTCTCGAAATTGGACCACAGTTTAAAATGTCCTTGTATGTTGAGTGATTTTGAATTTTATCTTGGGCATCATGCATGTTATGGAAACTCTGCATTCTGTTTTGTTTCTCTGATGATTTGTTTTTCATTTTAATGAACACTTAAGTTGGATGGCAACTCAAATACAAGTTTTGTTCTTTTATCCTCTTGTAGCCCATTCAGCACCTGCATGACTCAGGGGACAACTAGAGATTTGGAGGCTGCCTAGTTTTCTTAATTCTGGAATCCCTTTTCACTTTCCAAGTGAGTCCTCTTCAAGACTTTAAATCTTTGTGAAGCTTTCTTGTTGACCTTCACTCAGTCTCTTTTTTATTTTCTGTCAGTTCTTTCTCTACTCTTCTTTCATTTTCCCAGTGTTACATTTTCCAAAACTCACATTTTGATAAACTATCACTTGTCAAATCTGAAAAATCTGAAGGTTTTCATGCCCTCCCTTTTTTGTCTTCTCATAAGAAGCAAAACCTACTTTAATGCTCTCCCTTTGCCAAAATACCTCCTGTCTCCTTTTCTATTCTTTCCTGCCCCTTTTGGTTTAGATCCATAGAACTTCCCCCTCCTGGGGCATTTCATCCTATTTCCAAACTTTTCCTCAGTCTATCATGCTTAGGAATTGAGCAGCCTCCTCCTCCTCTTCATGGCTTAAAGAATTTCCCTCCTGGATTTTAGCACTGATTCCCTTTCTGTGCTTTCCACTTTCCAAGTGAGTCCTCTTCAAGACTTTATATCTTTATGAAGCTTTGTTATTGACCTTCACTAAGTCTCTTTTTTATTTTCTCTTCTCTTTCTGTAGGAAGCCCTCCCTCTAAATGATTAGATCAGCCACTGACTCACAGGCTACGGGACATGGCAAACTCATGCAAGGCTTACGGCGTTTCACCAGTTGCTGCCATAACAGCAGGTCCTTTTCCTGCCCCTTTTCTTTTCTCACACACTTGGCTTCAGAACCACCATCTATGGACATGAGTATATCACAGAACCAGAGTCCTGCTAAGAAGGGAATTTTTTTTAATAACTCATGGTTGCAGGTACTATTCTCCAGCTTGATTTTGGACTTGAATCAGACCCTCCCACCTACTCTGATCCCTACACCTCCCTGTTCCTGAGCCTGTAGTTCTTTCTGAATTCCCAGGTTCCCTCATCCTGACCATTGGTATCTGTCGTTTTCCACATAGTGTCTAGTTCCTCCTATGCTGGAGAATCTTTCATCCCTAATATAACATATTTAAAATTAGGATCTAACTTTAGAGGTAATTTCATTTAGTCCTCTCATTTCAAAAAACTGAGATCCAACAAAACGCAGTTAATGAGAGAGCCAGGGCTCAAACCCCCACTGCCTGATTCTAGGTTTTGGCACATTCCATTATACGAGGCTGTTTTGTGGTTCATCTTCTCCATCTGAGCACGCAGTGAAGGGCCACGTCTGATAGACACTTGGGCATCATGAAGGTTAGTGAGTCAGCCTGAAGGACACTTCACTAACACTTACTGTTAGCAAGGGCATGTCTAGTTCATAGCTTTTCTTATCCACCATTGTTCTTCATTCTGAAAAGAAAGCTTAGTTGTCTAATTGGTAATTTCTGGAAGAAATAAGAAAGAGTACCCGTGTAAATATAAATAAATAAATTCTTTTTATCACCCAAAACTTAAATCATCCCCAAGTATTTCAGAAAGTTTAATATAATGGATAGAACATAAATTACTTTTATGACTTCCAGGATATTACTGAAAATCTATTTATGTTATTTTGGCTTTACATTTTATTGATTTTTAAAATTTTAATTGTCCTCATTTTATCAGTAAAATACATAAAATGAATCTAAGCTCATACATAAGTTAAGTTTCCAGGAATAGAGGGCAGTAAATGAGTAGTAATTGTTTTTTCTGGTTTTATTTGTTGGATTTTTTTTAAGTCAAAAGCTATACCTCAAATGCAGTACTTCAATTATCTTACACCTTGTACCTCATGAAGGAAATAGAGTGATTGGAATTTTATAGGACCCTCAAATCTAATATTTTTATTACAGTCTCAGCAATATGGATTTAGTCAAAAGAGATGGAGGAAGTTATGTAATTTCTTGTGCATGCCCTCCCTCATCTTTAGGGCTTTAGAAAGTTTGTATTATTTTCCTATTATGGAGACATAATGTGTGTGTTCTTTCAGTGTCTGTATTTTCCTTTTTAGGAAAATTTCAAATGCAATATTAAGAGATCATAAGGCATTTAGGCATTATGAGACGTTTTAAAATTACATCTGACAAAATGTGCGCACAGCAGAACAAGTTCATATTTTTCATTTTGTTTTTCATAAACCAAAAAAAGCTGACAATTCACTGGGGCCTCGTGGAAGCTTCTTAACTGTGTGACTTCATACAGAAAAGCTCATCCAGTGGCGGATGGTTTACTGAGGTAGAGTGGAAGGAGGGAAACAGGGAATCAGTAGACTCGATCTTAGCATTGGTTGAGTGGGGCACCTGTTATGTGTCAGGTGGGTGGGCACCTCTCTCTGGGCCTTTGTTCACCTGTGTGAAAGCTGAGGACATTCAACCAGCCTTCAGGGTCACGTCAAGCTCCAACTTTACAATATTCCAAGCCTAGAAAGAACCATGGGCCGGGCATGGTGGTTCACACATGTAATCCTAGCACTTTGGGAGGCCGAGGTAGGTGGATCATTTGAGTCCACGAGTTCAAGATGAGCTTGGCCAACATGGCGAAACCCCATCTCTACTAAAATACAAAAATTAGCCAGGCACGGTGGTGCATGCCTGTAGTCCCAACTACTCTGGAGGCTGAGGCAGGAGAATCGCTTGAACCCAGGAGGTAGAGGTTGCAGTGACCAAGATCGTGCCACTGCACTCCAGCCTGGGTGACAGAGTGAGATGTTGTCTCAAAAAATGTAAAGAAGAAAGAAAGAACCATAGGCAGAGTGTTTGCTATTATTAAGGCATCCATTGGCATAGATATCAAAAACTATCCCATAGTAAAACATACTTAATGGAGAACCTACGCCAGTAGATGTCCTTTAGACTTCAGTGTAAAAATTATGACCTCCAGCAAGTCCTTTAGGGAAAGGGTGCCTTATAGTTGCTAGGCTAGTCTTTTCAGGGACTCTTAATTGGTGTTTGTCATATTTAGTGAGTAAGTACTAAACTCATTGCATAAAGTTATAAATTATTGAAGTCAGCTAAGTCAAGAGATGATGTCTTAAAAGCAGGACAAAAGAAGATTATTACCTCTTTTGTTCTTGAAAAAGATATTGCAAACACTGGATACCATGTTTAGTAAGTACATTGAGGTATAGTTGACTGTGCATATTTAGAATGTACGGTTTAATAAGTATTGACGTGTGCACATGTGCATACCCGTGAAAACGCCACGGTCAAGGCAATGAGCATATGTGCCATTCCCAGAAGGTGCCTCATGCTCCCTTGTGATCTGTTTCTCCCTAACAATTCCACTACCTTTTTCCATCCGTAAGGAAAACCAATCTTTTTTTTCTGTTACTATATATTACTTTCCATTTTCTAACATTTTAGATATGGAATTATTAAAGTAGGTGGTCTTTTATAGTCTGACAACTTTCACTAAGTATAATTATGTTGAGATTTATTCATGTTGCAGCATGTATCAATAGTTATTTATTTGTTGCCAAGTAATACTTGATTGTATGCCTATACCATGGTTTGTGTATCTATTCACATGTTGATGGACATCTGTGTTACTTCAAATTTTGGGCTATTACCAAAAAAGCTTTTATAAACATTTATGTACAAGTTTTTATATGGACATATGCTTACACTTCACTTAGGTAGGGTAAATACCTAAGAGTGGAACAGCTAGATCATACAGTAGGCATATGTTCAACTTTTAAAGAAACTGTTAAATTATTTTCCAGAGTCATTTTAGAATTTTATATTTCTACCTGCAGCTTCTGAGGCTTCCGGTTCCCCCAAATCCTTGCCCACACTCAAGATAATCAGTCTTCAATATGAGCCATTTAAATAAGTGTTTAGTGGCATATTGGTGCAGTTTAAATTTGTATTTTGCAATGGCTGATGATGTTAAGCATTTTACACATGCTTATTTCCATCCACATATCCTCTTGGCTAAAGGGTTTCTGAAAATCCCTGACATATTTTTGATTGGGTTACTTGGTTTCTACTGAGTTGAGAGTTTTTCATAAATGTCTTTATCAGCTATATATTTGCAAAGTTTCTTCCAGTCTATAGGGGTATATAGTCTATAAATAAATCTTTTTTTTTTTTTTTTTTGAGACCCAGTCTCGCTCTGTCACCCAGGCTGGAGTGCAGTGGCCCAATCTCGGCCCACTGCAACCTCCACCTCCTGGGCTCAAGTGATCCTGAAACTGCCTCAGCCTCTCTAGTAGCTGGGACTACAGGCATGCACCACCACACCCAGCTAATTTTGTGTGTGTGTGTGTGTGTGTGTGTGTGTGTGTGTGTGTGTATTTTTAGTAGAGGTGGGGTTTCACCATGTTGGCAAGGCTGGTCTCAAACTCCTATCTTCAGGTGAACTGCCTGCCTTGGCCTCCGAAGTGCTGGGGTTACAGCTGTGAGCCACCATGCCCAGCCAACAATGACTTTTGAAGATGCTTGCAATGTGGATAACCATATGTGAAAAAAAGAACTTTGATATATCCTAACACCATATGAAAATATTAACTCGAAATGGATCATAAATAAAAATGTTCAATCTAAAACTAGGAAAATTCTAGAAGAAAACATAAAATACCTTTGAGTTAGGCAAGTGCTTTTTAAGTATCTATGAGTTTATCCTTTTCATCAAATTTGGAAATCTGGGGGCACTATTTCTGCAAATATTTCCCTGCTTCCACTTCTCTCTCTCTCTCTCTCTCTCTGTTTCTGTCTCTCTCTCTCTCTGTTTCTGTCTCTCTCTCTCTCTGTTTCTGTCTCTCTCTCTGTCTCTCTCTGTTTCTGTATCTCTCTCTCTCTCTCTCTCTCTGTATGTGTGTGAGTGTGTTCTCTGTCAGGTTTCAAGTGCATGTATATTAGGCTGCTTGAAGTTTTAACATATCCCAATGATGCTTTGTTCATTTTTAAATTTTTCTTTTCCCTGGGTTTTATTTTGGATTATTTTTATTATTATGTCTTCAAGTTCATTAATATTTCCTTCTGCAATAACTAGTTTGTTGTGAATCCCACCCAGTGTATTTTTTGTTGTGCACAGTATCCATTTCCTCTCTAGGATTTTGATTTGGGTCTTGTTAATGTTGTCCATGTCTTCATTGAACATTTTGCACATATGGAATTCAGCTGTAATAATTGTTTTAATGTCCACCTCCACTAATGTTAAAAGTTGCATCAGCTCTGGGTCAATTTCAATTGATCAAATGCCATCCTTGAATGAGATTTGTATTGTTTTGCTTCTCTGCAAGCCTGGTAATTTTTGATTGGATGCCAGATATTGTGAATTTTATCTTGTACATGCTGGATATTCGAATATTCCTAAACCTACTTCAGAGCTATTTTTCTGGTACTCAGTTAAGGCCCCTGGAAGTAATCTGATTCCTTCAGGTCTAGCTTTAAAGATTTACTGGGTGGAAATGTAATATTAATTATAATTAACTATGATTATAATTATCCCTATGCTCAGTTTTAGGGCTAATTATCCCCACTACAAAAATAGGGCCCTTTTGCGTATTCTATGAAATGTCCATGAATCATGAGATTGTTTGAGAGTGGCTTATCTGAGCAGGTACTATTTTCTGTCCTGTGTGAGTGTCAGGGCACCACTGCCTCCAGTCCTTCCAGGTTATTCTTTCCCCAACCTTGGAGAGTTTCTCTCATGCGTGCCCTGTTCTGTATTCAGCTAATTTTCAGGGGGCCCTCAGCAGATCTCCAAAGCTCTCTTTCCGTGTTGCTTGCTCCTCTTTCAGACCCTTTAGCGCAAACTGTAGCTGCCTTGTTCTCCCCAGACTCTCAGCTCCATCTGTTTAGCTCAGAGTCTCCTGGGCCCCACCTAGGTTGTCCGTCATCCGCTTTAGTCTGAAAACTCTCTAAGGCAGTAAGCTCGGGATAAATGGGACTCTCCTCATTTACTCCCCATCTATCAGAAATCAGTGTCCTCCTTCGCTTTCTTTGATATCCAGTGTCTCGAAATATGTTGTTTCCTATGTTTGTACAAGATTTATTTGTTTCGGGCAGGAGGATTCATCCATTTCCTGTTTCTCTATTTTGACTAGAAGTGAAAATCTCTGGGAAAATTTGTTAGTACATACCTTTTGATTTTAGAAATCATGACTTTAAAATAAAATGGGCCTAAAATGTATGAGAAATTTTAAATTAGGCTAAATTTTATGCTAAATATATTGAATAAGTTAAATATAACTAAGACAAACCCATACTCTGCATATCTGACATGAATTATTTGAGGTCTGAAGACTGGAAGACACTATGAAATGAAAAGCGTGTCAACAATTTGACATTTCTTTCTCCATGCTTCCACTTTTCCAAACTTTTTCATGAATGTCACCTTATTTCATCTTGCAACAGCCACTGAGGTAAATAGGTAAGTATTTATCTCCCCTTTTTTTTGACTGAGGAAATTGTGCTACACAGTTACGTGTGTATCACTTATGGTCAAAAGCTAATAAAATCAAGAAATGTTTTCAAACTAAAAATGTATAAATATTGAATACTATTCAATCTTTTATTCAGCAAGCATCGATCCGTGCTTCCTTCAACCCACATATCTATTAATTTATCCAATGCTGAATACTATTTCTATACTTCATAAGCATTGGACTCCTTGCTATTATTCCTTTAAAAATAACTAAGAAACTATTATTTTTATTAGTGAGTCTGTGTGTGCACAAACAAGGCAGAAAACAACAGAATAAAATACCCAGGGACACTGAAAAGGAATAAATCCAAATTGTAGCATTTTGGTTGGTCAGGGGAAAGAGTGGTCAGTGTGGTTTAGGTAGGAAAGGCTTGCCAAAGATAACAGGACTTATTGCTTACTCTTCTAGTTACATGTCCTGCAGTCATAGAAATATGCAGACTAAAGTCAGTGTAAAAAACATTTTCCGCTTCCCCACATGATAACTGTAATCCTTTGCAACTCAAGGGCCCTATAGGGTTTTAATAGACAGTTATTACATAACATTTTCTATGTTTACTTCTGTTAATTTGTATTTGTAACCACAGAGAATAGATTCTAATTCCCTGCAGTACAGGAACTCTGAAGCTTTACTTCCCCTTTACAATGGTCAAAAGCCTGAGAAATCATAAAGAGCAACATGATATGAAAAAATAAAAACAATAAAGCAACTTTTAATATCTTCTTCCATCCTATGTAGGCTTTTGTAGTGGTGCAACATTTCTTACTTAACCTATTCATAAACTGCCAGTTGGACATCTGTGTAATACAGGTGTTATTCATTGCTTCCCAGGCCACTTATCTTCTAAGGGATTAAGACTCTACCCGCCTGGTGCGGTGGCTCACGCCTATAATTCCAGCACTTTGGGAGGCCAAGGCGTGTGGATCACCTGAGGTCAGGAATTTGAGACCAGCCTGACCAACATGGAGAAACCCTGTCTCTACTAAAAATACAAAAAAAAAAAAATTATCTGGGCATGGTGGTGCATGCCTATAATCCTAGCTACTCAGGAGGCTGAGGCAAGGGAATCGCTTGACCCCGGGAGGTGGAGGTTGCGGTGAGCCAAAATCGTGCCATTTCATGCCAGCTTGGGCAACAGGAGCGAAACTCCATCTCAAAAAAAATAATAATAAAATAAAAAAAACCCCACCCACAGTCTCTTCTCTCCTATTTGAAACACAGGACTCTGTCTTCTCCTAGATACAGACCAAGGTTGAACAAGCACTCCCAGGGGAATAAAGCCACTAGTTGAGCCATGCCAATCAAATCCTCTCTTTTGGAAACTTGAACAAAGACATAGAGATTACAATGAGAATTTGAAGGAGGCTGTATAAGATACTAGACTGACAGCCGTGCATGGTCATGAGCAGCCCAGGGATGACCACTGGGAGAAGAGAAAGCGGAGAGCAGCAGAGATCACAGAAATCATGAGGCCCTGAAAAGTGAAGATCCCGCCCTCACTTTCTCACTTTCCTGATGCAGTCATGTGAAATTTGTCTTTACTTCCATTTACTTCCTTTCCAACTCTCAGTGTTCTGAAATGTACCATTACGTAAAAGTGACAGAAAATGAAGAAAAACCATTAATTCCTAGTGGGATTTCCCATTTTTACTCTCACTCCCCATTACCACCAAATAAAACTGTTTTTGTTGAGCAAACTTTTCTATAAGCCTCTTTGCATTCTTACTTTGCATCCCAGGAGGTACAAGTAAGAAAAAAAAAAAAAAGGTCTTCTGAATTCTTCTGAATTATTTTCTAAGTAGAAGTGGGAGTGATGGCTATTTCCCAGGTTAGTATTGGTTAGAGCTCGCCAGAACTGAATTTGTTAGAAAAATAGAGGGTATCTATGAGGCTTTGTGGCAAGAGACAAAAGGGAACAAGGAAAAAAAGATGATGTTGCTGGCAGCCAGGAGATATACTTTGGGGAGCAGAATGGAAGTGTTACTGTATTGTATCTTGCTTTTTTTAGAAAAGTGTGAATAGAAATCTTCTGGGTTTACTAATGTGTTATAGAGCTGGATTTGGGCGTTTTGTGGCAATTGGAGTTGCGTAGTTTATGTAACATTGCGCAGAGGTGCAAGTTGGGAGAGATAAGAGCTCAGACTGCCCAACGGGTCTCAGAAAATGTAGGTTACATCCATAATACATTTGTTTGTTGTTTTTATTTGAGCTACTTTGTATAGGCATCTATTTTCTTGCAATCAAATAAGCTCTAACGAAAATGATGTGTAATGTGCAAAGTACCTTAGCAGCTTCAATAAGCATTAGACATGATCTCCACCCTTTCATGAATTCACTTGTGTTATATGGGTAAGTTAGACTCCAGGAACAATCATAAAACAGCCTTATTCTTTTCTCCAGCTGTCCCTTTAGAACAAAACTCTGTCTAGTTCTAAACAGAATCACACTGATTTTTGAAGATAACATAGCTTTTTTTCTGGCTCTTTCGCATCACAAATAGTATCATTTACAAAATTAAAATGCCCGGCCTAGTCTAATATAACATTATTAGCTTCAGGATTCATTCAGAGAGAAACTTTTCCTCTCTGTGAGCTTGAGCGGCTGTGGGTCTGGAAACCTGCACTGGGGAAGGGAAGACAGGAGGCCCTTCTCTTGGCCCCCTTCCTGCTATGTTCCTTGCTCCTCCTCTGCACTCTCCAGTCCTCCTTGGCATGTTCCTCGCTCCTCCTCTGCACTCGCCAGTCCTCCCTGGCCTGTTCCTCGCTCCTCCTCTGCACTCGCTGGTCCTCCCTGGCCTGTTCCTCGCTCCTCCTCTGCACTCGCTGGTCCTCCCTGGCCTGTTCCTTGCTCCTCCTCTGCACTCGTCAATCCTCCCTGGCATGTTCCTTGCTCCTCCTCTGCACTCACCAGTCTTAATTTCTCACTTCTCCAAGGTTGGGTTCAGGGGGAGGAGAGATGAGAGAAAGGATACAGCATCACATGGTGGTTATGGATCTCATCTGGTGATGGGTCTCTCTGGATGTGACAAATACACAAAGCCGCACTTTTTCTCATGGGGAGCTTTTGGAGAGCTTCTTTGGAGACCCTCACATAGAATGTTGGAAGATGGCTTTTAGCCTTTTCTCTCACTGTGATGCCTTCACACATCCTCACACTTCCTGTCTTTACCCTCTTCTGGTCCTTTGGCTCTATTGGGTGGAGTTCCTTACAAAATGGCTCTTGGGATTCCCCCATGTAGTTCACTTCTGGCTTATGAGAAACACCCACATTTTCCCACCATCACCAGAACCGACACAGCTTGCTTCCAATACAGTCCCCTCTCTTCACATGGGGCTGCCTGAGATTTTTCCAGGTGGGATCTAGGTAGCATTGCTTATGCTTGAAGGACTCTCTGTTCTCCAAAGCACCCGTTTCAGGCTCTGTGACACCGAATGGCTCTGTGACACCTTCTCCTTTGGCTTGTGCTGAGAGGAAACCTGTACTTTCCTTTTCCTGACCCAGTTGCACAGCCCTTAGTCCCTTCTTCCTCCACCCAAAAGATGAGGGTGCCAGATAATTCCACTCACTCTCTATTTGGAGGTTTCCTGTGGATTATTGTAAATGTGCGCTAACCAATTTCATACCCTTTATTATTTTTTAAATAATGTAACAGGTCACCTTGGGCTGCAGGGACACTTGGCAACCATTTTTACAGCTTTTAACTTTTGGTGCCCGGGCCGGGTGTGGTGTGGTGGCTCATGCCTGCAATCCCAGCACTTTGGGAGGCCAAGGCAGGTGGATCACCTGAGGTCAAGAGTTCGAGACCAGCCTGGCCAATATGGTGAAACCCCGTCTCTACTAAAAATACAAAAAATTAGCCAGGCGTGGTGGCGGGCACCTGTAATCCCCACTACTTGGAAGGCTGAGGCAGGAGAATCCCTTGAACCAGGGAGGTGGAGGTTGCAGTGAGCCGAGATCATGCCACTGCACTCCAGCCTGGGCAAGAAGAGCAAAACTTCATGTAAAAAAACAAAAAAAACAGAAAAAAACACCTAGGTAGTTGATGATGTATGTAAATTGTCAGTGCTATCTACATTCAGGGGGTGTATCAGGAGGATGTATTTTGGTTTATGTGATTTTAAAAGGATTCACGGCAGAGTTGAGGTTTCAGCAGAGCAGTGGAGGACACAGCTTCTTACTTGATACTTTATTTTACCTAAAAAACACAAGTCGCCTCACCAAAGTGGAAAAATCTCATTTTCTTTACACACCGTACTGCAATTGCTTGTGTGCTCATGCTTATGGAAAGAGGGAACCCTTGAATGACTTATCCTTTTCACAATAAAATCCTCCCCCTGTTGCAATGCTTCTTCTCAAACATCAGTGTCCACACACACCATCTTGGTGTGCTTGTTAAAATGTGGATTCTGATTGAGTAGGTCTAGGGTGGAGCCCAAGATTCTGCATTTCTTAGAAAGCTCCGAAATGATGCTGATGCTGCTGGTCCTATGACCACATTTTGAGTGGTAAGGCTCCACTTCTTTTGCTGAGTCATATGTAACGTACTAAATAATTTTGTCATTTATGATTGACAAATCAGTAGAAGCCTTTCATTTCGTGAAAACGGTCTTAGTGGTAGTTTGCACATAACAGCCTCTCATTTCTTTGAACTGGGGTTAGACATTTTGGTGCCATTCATTTGGAAAGGAGACTTGAAATAGGAACAAAGAGAATGAGGTTCCCATTGTCAGCTGTGCTATCTACTTTTGCTATGTGGCCATTAACAAGCTTTATCATCTCCAAACTTTAGCCACTTGCATTGAGTTGTTGTATTAAGTAGTCTCCAGAGGTCTAGCCAATACCAATGTTCTATTTCTAAATATATTTTATGTTTATCTTATCTACTCAGCTATATCATTAAAAAGTTGGGAACTAAGTTTTTATGTGTGCCTGTATTTTCCTTTCTGGAACAAACAATAGAACCTTGCCATTAAACATGCTCAATAAATGTTTATTAATGATGATGCTGCAGAGCTTTGACAGTGAAGATACAAGAGTGACTCTATAAAGAATCCATGAGTTTTTTTTAATCTAGCAAATTTATATTGCTGAATGACATTTACTTACTAAAATTCAAAATAATAAATTCAATAATATTCACACATGCTGAGTTTCTCATCCCTGACTTTAGGGTAATAGAGGCAAACTCGCCAGAATCAAATAGTAACAGTAAAAAAAGCTACAATCTGTATCATTATAAAAACAATAAAAGTTTTTTAAAAAAACAAGCAAAAACCGAAATATATTTCCTGGCTCACACATTTTAGTGATTCTGTATCAATGAAACGTCTTGTTCTCTTTAAGGTACACCATCCATGTCACAAGCCACATAATAATTTGAAAAAATCAGTGACTGAGCTATGAGTTACCATTCTACGGGGTTGTGGGTTGTGGGGCCCTAAGTTGAGGAAAGTCAAGAAAAAGATTGATGGAAAAGGCAGAATGACCTAGTTAGTCTTTAAATGATGTGTTATTACAAACAAGGAAATGTCACTATGACATTTACTAGCTAGAAAAGAAGGAGGTCGGGGGTGAAAAGTAAATGGTGTATGAAGCCCAGAAATTCCTCCTTGATTATCCAAGTGATGCTGTGAGGCAAACGCTTCCACTTACCAAGAAGAGCAGAAAAATGTGCACTTTCCTTCTACCAGTTACATTATAGCTCTTATTTTAAGAGACAAATTGTGTAAAATGCTACAATAAATGCAATTTTGATGATAAGGACAGAACATTCAAGTCTAAAACTTATGTGTTACCCAACTTTCAAAAAAGTGAGAAACTTTTTTTTTTTTTTTGGATTCACTCTTGTCACTGAGACTGGAGTACAGTGGTACAATCTCGGCTCACTGCAACCTCTGTCTCCCAGGTTCAAGTGATTCTCCTGCCTCAGCCTCCTGAGTAGCTGGGATTACAGGTGCCTACCATAACACCTGGTTAATTTTTTTTTTTTTTTGTATTTTTACTAGAGACAAGGTTTCACCGTGTTAGCCAGGCTGGTCTTGAACTCCTGACCTCAGGTGATCCACCCTCCTCAGCCTCCCAAAGTGCTGGGATTATAGCCATAAGCCACTGTGCCCAGCCTAAAAAAAGTAAGAAACTTTTAAATGTGTGTATTACATATTGTGGGAAACATTGATGTCTCATTCTGGACAAGAATAGCTCAAATGCCACACATTTTTAAATGTGCATCATTCCACATTGGAGTTTCTTTGCAGCAGTATTGTGTTGAGAGCTCTGTATGTATCTATTGTGTTGTGTCTTATAAAATGAACACCTGGAACAGATGTGGCCCTGTGGCAGGTGGGGCAGCACCTGGGTGGTGAAGAATGTGGGGTGAGTCAAAATTGAGACAAGCATGAGGTCTTTTAAGAACTTGAAAAGTATTTCAATATCTGAAATAGAAGGCTCACTGTTAGAAAATTGATAATGGAACTAGGGTTGCAGACAAAAAAGTATTTGAATCTAGGTGTAGAATTCTCATCCCCAGAGGGAATAAGCTAGAAAGTTAGTTCATGATCAATAAACCAACATCTAGACAATATGAAGATAGAGTTTAAAATAAATAATGTACATTTACTGTGGAAAGGGAATTTTTAATTTTCTATTGTTAAGTACAGCAACCTGGGAAAAGAAAAAGAAGTTCTTGATGGTAATTAGGAAAGAAAAAGGAAAAGGTTTATCCATGGATTAAAGGAGAGGGTACCATATGCCAGAAACATATAATATTTTATCTCACTTAACCCTCTCAGTAATCTCAGGAAGTGCATTTGTAAGGAGAACTCAGAGATATTAAGTAACTTGCCTAAGATCACGAGGTTCCTTTGTATGTCTGTTCGTTCATATGTAGGCATGAGATCAGCTTTAGTATTATACTACCAAAGAGTTTTTCAAGGCAGTTGTGCTGGTTTATATAAGGGCTTCAACACTTGATGTTATCACCCTTCTGGATGTGGGGCTTCAAGTGAGGTTATGGAGGTATCTCAGTGTGGTTTTGATCTACGTTTTCTTGATGACTAGTGAACATTAAACACTTATGCTTATTGGCCGTGTATATTGTCTTCAAATCTTTTGCTTGTTTTATTTTTAGCTCAGTTATCTGTCTTTTGAAAAAAAATGATTTTTAAATATATTTTGAAAAGAGTTCTTTGTCAGATATATGCATTGCAGTGTATTTACCACCTATGACTACTTTTTCAGTCTCTTAATGGTCACTTTTGATGGTTAAAAGCTCTTAATTTTAATAAAGACAATTTTAACAACAACAAATTCAGACCTGGGCTTAACACCCCAATTCTATGAATCTAATAGGTTAATTCTAACACCAAACTGAATAGTAAATAGTGAAAAGGAGGTAAATTAATCAAAATGTCCACTTAGCAATTTGGTCACCAGTTAAATTGGCCTTTGAGTAAATAAGGTTCTTCTTCATTATCGGAATGGTACCATACAGTAGAATTGTCTTCCTAGAAATTATGGCTCTGATTTACTTGCTGAAAGATCATTGATTTTCATAGGTCGGTCTTGTACCCATTGATCTCAAAGCTTTCTCATTAGCTGTAATTATGAGTTTTTGCTGGTTTTGTACATGAGATCATGGTGTCCACAAATGATAACAGTTATAGCTTACTTCCCGTACCTTGTTGTTCCTGTTTATTTTTTCTTATGTTCTTTATATTGTGTATATTTAAGGTATACAAGGTGATATTTTGATATATGCATACATTGTGAAATAATAGCAATCAAGCTAATTAATACATCTGTTACCTCACACAATCTTGGTCAGGACCTCCAGTACTATGTTTTTTTTTTTTTTTTTTTTTTGATAAAAATATTGTATGACATTTATTTTTTTTTTTTTACTTTTCTTGTACTATTAATGTTTTATTTTTTTTTATTTATTTTTTTTTATTTTTATTTATTTTTTTTTTTTAAATTTATTTTTTTATTGATAATTCTTGGGTGTTTCTCACAGAGGGGGATTTGGCAGGGTCATGGGACAATAGTGGAGGGAAGGTCAGCAGATAAACAAGTGAACAAAGGTCTCTGGTTTTCCTAGGCAGAGGACCCTGCGGCCTTCCGCAGTGTTTGTGTCCCTGATTACTTGAGATTAGGGATTGGTGATGACTCTTAACGAGCATGCTGCCTTCAAGCATCTGTTTAACAAAGCACATCTTGCACCGCCCTTAATCCATTTAACCCTGAGTGGACACAGCACATGTTTCAGAGAGCACAGGGTTGGGGGTAAGGTCACAGATCAACAGGATCCCAAGGCAGAGGAATTTTTCTTAGTACAGAACAAAATGAAAAGTCTCCCATGTCTACTTCTTTCTACACAGACACGGCAACCATCCGATTTCTCAATCTTTTCCCCACCTTTCCCGCCTTTCTATTCCACAAAGCCGCCATTGTCATCCTGGCCCGTTCTCAATGAGCTGTTGGGCACACCTCCCAGACGGGGGGGCGGCCGGGCAGAGGGGCTCCTCACTTCCCAGTAGGGGCGGCCGGGCAGAGGCGCCCCTCACCTCCCGGACGGGGCGGCTGGCCGGGCAGGGGGGCTGACCCCCCCCACCTCCCTCCCGGACGGGGCGGCTGGCCGGGCAGGGGGCTGACCCCCCCACCTCCCTCCCGGACGGGGCGGCTGGCTGGGCAGAGGGGCTCCTCACTTCCCAGCAGGGGCGGCCAGGCAGAGGCGCCCCTCACCTCCCAGACGGGGCGGCTGGCCGGGCGGGGGGCTGACCCCCCCACCTCCCTCCCGGACGGCACGGCTGGCCAGGCGGGGGGCTGACCCCCCCCCACCTCCCTCCCGGACGGGGTGGCTGCCGGGCGGAGACGCTCCTCACTTCCCAGATGGGGTGGCTGCCGGGCGGAGAGGCTCCTCACTTCTCAGACGGGGCAGCTGCCGGGCGGAGGATCTCCTCACTTCTCAGACGGGGCGGCTGCCGGGCGGAGGATCTCCTCACTTCTCAGACGGGGCGGCCGGGCAGAGACGCTCCTCACCTCCCAGACTGGGTCTCGGCCGGGCAGAGGCGCTCCTCACATCCCAGATGGGGCGGCGGGGCAGAGGCGCTCCCCACATCTCAGACGATGGGCGGCCGGGCAGAGACGCTCCTCACTTCCTAGATGTGATGGCGGCTGGGAAGAGGCGCTCCTCACTTCCTAGATGGGATGGCGGCCGGGCGCAGACGCTCCTCACTTTCCAGACTGGGCAGCCAGGCAGAGAGGCTCCTCACATCCCAGACGATGGGCGGCCAGGCAGAGACACTCCTCACTTCCCAGACGGGGTGGCGGCCGGGCAGAGGCTGCAATCTCGGCACTTTGGGAGGCCAAGGCAGGCGGCTGGGAGGTGTAGGTTGTAGTGAGCCGAGATCACGCCACTGCACTCCAGCCTGGGCACCATTGAGCACTGAGTGAACCAGACTCCGTCTGCAATCCCGGCACCTCGGGAGGCCAAGGCTGGCGGATCACTCGCGGTTAGGGGCTGGAGACCGGCCCGGCCAACACAGCGAAACCCCGTCTCCACCAAAACCAGTCAGGCGTGGCGGCGCATGCCTGCAATCACAGGCACTCGGCAGGCTGAGGCAGGAGAATCAGGCAGGGAGGTTGCAGTGAGCCGAGATGGCAGCAGTACAGTCCAGCTTCGGCTCCGCATGAGAGGGAGACCGTGGGGAGAGGGGAGAGGGGAGAGGGGAGAGGGGAGAGGGACTATGTTAAACAGTAGTGTTTCCAGTGGAAGTTACTCAATATTCTAGCATAATTGGGACACATAATGGTGTGATTTACTAACATAGGGAAGAAAGAGAAAGGAATAGTTTGGAGGAAAATGTAATCATCCGTGTGATAGGACCAAGTAGAGACACTCAGTAGGGAGCTGGCTATGAATGTCTCTAGCTCTGGAAAGGGGTAATTCTAGGAGATTTAAACTTGGGAATCATCGACTAACAAGCATTAACTTAAACTGTGAGGTTACTTTCCAGTTTCTGCTCAGGAAGAGCTGGAGGGTTACACCCAACTTTAAAACAGGAGAAAAAAAGCCAGAAGTGTGAGCTCCTCACTTTTTTAAAATCCACTAGAGAGAAGATATTGCAGGACAACCAAGTAATCCAAATCTAAGAAGAGATACAAGACTACAGGCTGAAATAGGGTTTGAACACACTTGCTTAGTTGATTCAGATCAAGTCAGACGTCAATAGGAAGGACTCAGCTGGAATAACAGGTGAATTGGTAGAGGTCAAGTGTGGGTTGGTGAGGGACAATGGAGTCCCTGGGGGCTGCTTCTATGCGGAGAAGGCAGGGTTCATATTCTCTTGAAGACTTTTTCTTTGTGAATCCAGGCATTCACAGGGAAGCCTGGGAAGAGTGCAGAGAAAACTTTCTCAAAGGTGCTGCCTGAGGGAGGGGAGAACCAGCCTCTGCAGAGGAGATGCTGGACTCAGCCTGGACTCTACTGCCCCGTGTCCATGAAGGAATAAAAAGTCTTAATCTGCCGTGGGAAAGACAACAAAAGCTGTCACCCTCAGGCCGAGATGAATACTCATTGCAACTGGTGTATGAAAATGGGAAAACTCATCTATCCCAGAGAATCAGCAGTAATATATTCTAGGCTCAGAACCACAGCAGTCAGAGAAGGGGCACTCCTCAAAGCCACACTCCCAAGACCAAAGAACATAGTCCCTGGCTGAAGCCGAGGACAAAGAAGAACTAAGAACAAAGAAGAATATCCTAAACCCAAGGTACTGATAAATCTGAGGCCAGTGGTACACTCAACATAAATAAACAACAACGAATCCCAAACCCAGCCCAAGACCTAACTAGATTAAAACAAACTTCCAAAGAAAGGCCAAGGAGTAGGAAAAAAAAGCCAATTTCCAAGCGCAAAACTGTTTACCTAACTCTCTACTATTCTGCAGGAGATGTTCAGCTATCAACAAATAAGGATGAGGAATATGGAAAGGCAAGAGACAAAGCAATCAAAAGAACCACTTAGACACAGACCTGTCTAACAGATAATTTAAAATAACTATGACTATGTTACAGGCATGAATGGAAAAGGTGAACAGCATGTAGGATCAAATGGGCTATTGCAGCAACTCAAGACAGGAATCAATGGAAATGCTAAAAATAAAAATGAATATAAATGTGGATAAAATACACTTTTGACATGTTCATCAGTAGATTAAAAACCATTAATAAATATAAAGATGGATTAATAGAATTTTTACAAAATGAACCAGATATAACTAAAGCAAAAATAAAAGGAACAGAGCATCCATGAGTTATGGTACAATGTAAAATGGCTTAACATAGGCATTATTGAAACCCCAAAAGTATGACAAAGATTTGAGGAGAAGAAATGTTTGAAGAAATATTGGCTAAGAATTAATTAGAATTAATTGGTCCAAAATTAATTAGAAAAACCAGACCATGGATCTGAGAAGTTCAAGAATACTCTATAAATAAATGCCAATATAAGTGCATTTGTGTACACAGACACACAAGCATACCATGTTCAATTGCTGAAGAACAAAATAGGAGAAGGTCCCAAAGGCACCCACAGGGAAAAGAAAGACACAAGAGGAGAACAAAGATAAGAATTATAGCAGACTTTTTGTCAGAAATCATGCAAGACAGAAGACAATGAAGTGAAATGAAATTATTATTATTTTTTTTTGAGACAGAGTCTCACTCTGCCTCCCAGGCTGGAGTGCAATGGCACGATCTTGCCTCACTGCAACCTCTGCCTCCCAGGTTCAAGTGATTCTCCTGCCTCAGCCTCCCAAGTAGCTGCTATTACAGGCATGTGCCACCATGCCTGACTAATTTTTGTATTTTTAGTAGAGACAAGGTTTCACCATGTTGGCCAGGCTGGTCTCTAACTCCTGAGCTGAAGTGATCCACCTGCCTCGGCCTCCCAAAGTGCTGGGGTTACAGGCGTGAGCTATCACGCCTGGCCCCCCCTGAAGTGATCTTTTTGAAAGGCTGGAAAGAAAAGAGTCAACACAGAATTTTATACAGAGGGAAAATATCTTTCAAAAATGAAGGAGAAATAAAGACTTTGTTAGACAAAAAGTGAGAAAATGTATTGCCAATAGACCTACATAGCAAGAAATTTTAAGAGAAAAACCATATTAAAAGAATTCCTTGAGGCAGAAGGAATATGGTACCAGAAAGAAACTTATATCTACACAATGAAACAAAGAATATTTAAAAAGAAATAAAGGAAAATAAAATTAGTTTTTTATACCTAATTGCTCCAAAAGATAACTGATTTTTTAAAGCAAAAATTTTAGATCTATAGTGTATTTATAGCATGGTTAAAAGGTATCTATGGTGTAGGGATGTTATAACAGTATGTTCCCAGTTCCTCCTTCACAGCATACATTGTTGTGATCCTTACACTTCACAGAAAGTATATATATATATATACATATATATATATATACATATATGTATTTTGAAACAGAGTCTCACTCTGTTGCCCAGGCTGGAGTCTAGTGGCACGATCTTGGCTCACTGCAACCTCCACTTCCTGGACTGAAACAATTCTCCTGCCTCAGCCTCCTGAGTAGCTGGGATTACAGGCACGCATCATCACTCTCGGCTAATTTTTGTATTTTTAATACAGATGGTGTTTCACCATGTTGGCCAGGCTGGTCTTGAACTCCTGGCCTCAGGTCATCTGCCTGCCTTGGCCTTCTAAAGTGCTGGGATTACAGGTGTGAGGCACCACGTCCCGCTGGGAGAATAATGTTATTTAAAGTTAGATGTTGATTAATTAATAATGCATATTGTAAACCTTAGGGCAACCACCAATAAAATGTGTAAACATGGGCATAAGTAATAGGTTGATAAAAGAGATAAAATGAAACAATGAAAACAATAAGCACAAATCAGAAAAAGAAGAAAAAAGAAACAAAGACAAATGGAACAACTTGAAAAGAGCTAGGAGGATGGTAGATTTTAATCCAAAGAGATCAACTGTAATATTAAGTGTGAATGGTTTATACATACAAATTAAAAGGCAAAGATGGTCAGATTGGATTAAAAAAGAAAAAACTATAAGCTCTTTTTGAGAAATCCAACTTAAATATAAAGATTTAGATAGGTTAAAAGAAAAACAATAAAATCATTAACACAAAGAAGCTGGAGTAGTTATATTAATATCATATACAAGACTTTTGCCTCTGATATAAAAGACTTTTGCCTCTGATAATTTTTCTTGTTTCTTTTATATTAATATCATAGAAAAGAAAAGACTTTTATATATTATATAATAATATATAAAAGAAAATACTTTTCTATGATATTAATATAAAAGAAACAAGAAAAATTATCAGAAGCAAATAGGGGTATTGCATAATGATAAAGGAGGAATTTCTCCAGGGAGGTGTAACAATACTATGTATGCGTGCACCTAACGACAGAACACACAAAACCAAAAATTTTAAAAACCCACAGGAAGTCAAAAATTTTTTTAAAAAAGACAAATCCTCAATTGTGGTTACAGACTGAAACTCTTTTCTTTCGTGTGTGTGTGTGTGTGTGTGTGTGTGTGTGTCTGTGTGTGTATGTGTATTTTATATATATATATATATTTTTTTAAAGCAGGCATAATATTGGTAAGAATTTGGAAAGACTACTGTTAACTCAATTTACCTAATGACATTTGTAAGTTAGTATGCAAGAACATCTGGATTATTCACCAAGATAGACTATATTCTGGGCCATAAAATAAACCTCACCAAATCTGAAAGAACAGAAGGCACATGAAATATGATCTCAAATTGCTAGGGATTTAAATTAGAAGTTAATATCCAATAGGTATCTAGAAAATTCCTAAATACTTGGGAATTAAACATGTTTCTAAATAACCTGCATGTCAAAAAGAAAGTTTCAAGGAATTTAAAAATAATTTGAACTACATCAAAGTGTAAATAAACTATATCAGAATTTGTGTAATGAACAAAGCCATGCTTAGAGGAAAATTTATACAACTAAATTCTTATGCTGGAAAAGAAGAAAGATCTTAAATCAATGATCTAAGCTTCCCTCTTAAGAAACAAGAGGAAAAGCAAGTTTTACCCAAGGCAAGCAGAAGGAAAGAAATAATAAAGATGGCAACAAAGACAAAAAAAAAAAAAGAAAATAAAAAATCAATAGAGAAAATCAATTAAACCGAAAACTGGTAATTTTTAAAGACCAATAAAATTGATAAACCTGTAACTGAACTCACCAAGAGAAAATAAAAGACATAAATTTAAAATATAAAAGAGAAATTAAATGAACAATTCTATGCCCATAAGCTTATAAAAGCCATAACTGCCAAATATAACTCAAGAAATAGGCAAGCAGAATATGTTTGTACCAATTATGTTGACTGAAATTAAGGCTGTTTAGGCAGAAAAAATTTAGTAAAGGCTTACTGGAAGCCACATATGAGGATTGACTGGGGAAGACACATCAGCAAAGTGGGTATGTTCCAAAGTCTGCTACAAGTCCGAAGGCTTTTATAAGGAAGTTTGGGAGAAGGAAAGGTGACTCCTCATATCAGAGTTGTCCTTTTCACCGGAAGGTACAATACAGAGGTTAAGATCATTGGCAAGAGATTGCAACATACAGGCTAAAATGTCTGTGTGCAAGACAATCAGTAAAACTTCATGATTCTAGAACAAATCAGCAGTGTCTGTGTGTCAGTTGTTTACATGTTAATCGATATGTCAATCGTGTGAGGAACTGACAATAAAATTTGAGGATTCCTTATTCAAGGACAAAAGGTTCACCATGAATCATAAGACCATCACCACGTGGGTAATTTGGAAGCTTGCCAAATGTGACCTAAGGTTATCAATTAAATAAATTGAAGGAATAGTTAATATTCTTCCAAAAAGGAAACTTCAGGAACAGAGGGTTTTACTTGGAATTCTGTCGGTATTTAAGGAATAAATAGGGGCCAGGTATGATGGCTCATGCCTATAATCCTGACTCTTTGGGAGGCTGAGGTGGGAGGATCACTTGAGGCCAGGAGTTCAAAACCAGCCTGGGCAACAGAGCGAGACGTCGTTTCTATGAAAAATTTTTAAGTTAACTGGACGTGGTGATATGCACCTGCAATCGTAGCTACTTAGGATCCCTTGAGCCCAGGAGGATCTCTTGAGCCCAGGAGTTCAAGGCTGCAGTGAGCTATGATTGCACCACTGCACTCCAGCAGTGCTCTGGGTAACAGAGCAAGACCCTGTCTTGGAAAAAAAAAAGTAATAAAATGTTATTCAACATATTCTAAAAAGCAGAGAAGATAGAACACTTCTCAACTCAATTAATGAGGCCATCACTAATGTAATACCAGAAACAGGCAAAAGATTAAAAGAGAACTAAAAACCAATATCCCTCATGAACAAACACACACATATTCTCAATAAAATACTAGCAAATACAATCCAGCAATATATAAAAAGAGTAACACATCACAACCAAGTCAAGTTTGTTCCAAGCATGCAAGGCTTGTTCAGTATTTGGAAATCAATCAGTGTGATTCACATTAGTAGAGCAAACAAGAAAACTATATGATTATTGCAATAGACACAAAAATTGAATTTGAAAATAAATTATAATATCCACTCGTGATAGACAATTCTCAGTATGGTAGGAATAGAGTGGAACTTATTTAACTTGATGAAGGGTTTCTATAAACAAGTTACAGCTAACATAATTCTTAATGGTGAAAACTGAGTGGTTAATCCAAAAGATCCACTCCTGTTTAGCATCATACTAGAAGTCCTAGTTACGAAAATTATTTATTAATAGTATTTTATTTACTTATTACCACAGGTTGGTAGAGAAGTCAGGAAAAGAAATAAAGGCCTCAAAATTTGAACATAAGAAATAAAACTGCCTCTATCTGCAGACAAAATAACTTTCTACATGGCAAAACCCGAGAAATCCACAAAACATGTTCTAGAACTAATTAGTGAGTTTAGCAAGGTCACAAGATTCAAGGTCAAAACACAAAAATTAATTGTTTTTCTATGTTCTAGCAGTGCATATGTTAATTCAAAGTTTAAAAATTACCATTCAAAATAGCATAAAAATGAAACACTTTGGACTAAATCTAAAAAATATTTACAGGATCTGTATGTATGCTGAAATGTATAAAACTGATTAAAGAAATTTAACAAAAAGCTAAATCATTGGGGGAATATACTGTTTTCTTTGTTTGGGAGATCTAATATCGGTAAGATGTCAATTATCCCCAACATTATATGTTTGTTCAATGCAATCTGAATTGAAATCTCAAAGTGATTTTTACAGATACTGACAAGTTCATTATAAAATGTGCAAGGCCAAGGAACTAAAATAGCTACCCACAAAATTGGAAAGGAAATAACATAATGGGGATACTCATACTTGATTTCAAGATGTATTTTATAACCACAGCAATCAACACGGTGTGGTATTGCCAAAGGATAGTGATATGGTCTGGCTGTGTCCACACCCAAATCTCATCTTGAATTATAGTTCCTGTAATCCCCAAGTGTGGTGGGAGGGACCTGGTGGGAGGTAATTGAATCATGGGGGCAGTCACTTCCATGCTGTCCCCGTGATAGTGAATGAGTCCTCCTGAGGCGTGATGGTTTTATATGGGGCTTTTCCCCCTTTGCTTGGCACGTTTCCTTGCTGCCGTCACATGAAGAAGGACGTGTTTGCTTCCCCTTCCACCATGATTGTAAGTTTCCTGAGGCCTCCCCAGCTGTGCTGAACTGGGAGTCAATTAAACCTCTATTCTTTATAAATTACCCAGTCCTGGGTATGTCTTTGTTAGCAGCATGAGAACAGACTAATACAGATAGATATACAGTTCAATTAAACAGATTAGAGTCCAGAAATAGACTCACATAAATATAACCAACTGACTTGTTGCAAAGATGCAAAGTAATTTTACAGAGGAAAGGCAGTCTTTCCAACAAATGGTGCTGGGAAGACGGGACATGCGTATGAAAAATAAATGCCCACCCATAGAAATACTAATTAAAAATTATAGACTCACGTGTAAATTTAATCTATGAAAATTTCTTTAAAAAATTGGGAAAATATTTGTGTGACATTGAGACTTAGATACAACATCAAAAGCAATATTCATAAAAGGAAAGAATCACTAACTGGACTTTGTTATAATTTTAAAATTGTTGAAAGAATACAAAGACAGCCACAGGCTGGTAAAGAGTATTTGCAAATTACATTTCTGACAAAGGACTCTAGACATGTAATGAGCTCTTAAATCCTAACAGTAAGAAAATGACCAACCCAGTCAACAATGAGGAAACAGATGTAAACAGAAACTTAACTACAGATGTGTGGATGCAAAACAAACACATGCAAAGATTCTCAATATCATTAGTCATTATGGAAATGCAAAACTTCCAACCACAATGAAATACCACTCTATGAGTATTATTAGAATAGCTAAAGAACAACAACAAAACAACAAGCTGACCACACAAAGTTCAAGCAACGTCACAGAGCAACTGGATTTCTTTACTTGTGGTAATGCAAAATGTTTCATCTCCCATGGGAAAGTGAGAACTTTCTGATAATGTTAAACATGTATCTCCCACATGGTCCAGGCATCTCGTCCCTGGGTATTTACTCAAGAGAAATGAAAAGGTGTGCTCACATAAAAACCTGTACAGGAACATTTATAGCAGGTTCATTTGTAAGCATCAAAAGCTGGAAACTACTTAGGTAACTTTCAACTGGTAAATTGATAAATAAGTGTGGTATATCCGTACAATTGAGTACTACTCACTGATAAAAAGAAAGGAAGTATTGATCTATGCAACAATGTGAATAAATCTTAAATGCATTTTGCTACGTCAAAGAAGCCAAAACTCAAGGGACTAATACCAAATAATGCCACTTATAAGACATTCTGTAACAGGCATACTTACAGAGGTACAGATCAAGTTAGTAGCTGCCAGAGGTTAGAATTAGGTGGGAGGGGCTGATTGCAAAAGGATACCACAAAGGAATTTCTGGGGTGATGAAATCATTCTGTATTAAAATCTTGGTAGTTAATACGTGATTTTATCCATTTGTCAAAATATACGAAATTGTACAACATGAGGGTGAGTTTTAATCTATGTAACTTAACGTGCACACACAAGATATTTGGGGAACTCAAATGGAATACGAATTGTAACAAATGAAACTAACTCTATTATAGATGAGTATCACAACCACACAACATGTGGGGCAGGAACAAACCAGTTACTTTAAAAGCATTACTTTGACTTGATACTATAAGCCCAAAGGCAAAAAGAATAGAGCAAAATGTTAAACTCTAGTAAATTTATTTCTAATAAGGTTATATGTTAGCAATTCTGAAGCTACTTTATATGTATATATTTAGGGTTGAATACATTAGTAAATGCATTGTAGATAATGAGAACTGAGCTTTTCATTGTAAGAGAAAGAATCTACATATAAAGAGGGAAGGCTAGAATAAACCCTGGGGTGTTGGAGGGAGCTTGGTGGTATCCGTGTGAACTCATGTTTTAAAAAGCATGTGGGCATTACAAATATATACATATATATGCAGAGATGGGTACAAAAATAAATCTAAATTTGTGTGTATAGTTGTTATGCATACACATATTTTTGAGTTCTGTCCCTGGAGAGGGCTTAGAAACAATGACACCCCACAACAATGAATGTACCTCTTACTCAGATCTTGTATTTTGGGGGGAATGAGTTCAGGTTTATTTAGGTATAATTTGTATAGAGTAAAATATACCCATTTTAGTGTACAGTTTTATGATACTCAACCATGTCTACAATTCCATCAGCACCATGATAATCAAGAGAAAGAATAGTTTCACCACCTCAAAATATACCCTTGTGCTCTTTTGTTACCAATCCCCTCCCCTCACTTCCAAAACTAAGTGAGGCCAGTATGGGGGCAATTGGAAGTCTCATACAGTGCTGGTGGAAATGTGAAACGGAGCAGCTACTTTGGAAAACAGTTTGTCAGTTTCTTGTAAAGTTAGACATTCCTTTACCATAGACCCAGTAATTCTATTCCTGAGTATTTACTCAAGAGAACTACAGACTGTGCACACACCAGGCCTGTATGCAACTGTTTACAGCAACTTTATTCATAGTCATTCCAAATGAAACAACTGAAGTCTTCACCTACAGGTGAGCGGATGAACAAATTGTTACTTTCATGCAGTGGAACACTACTCAGCTACAAAAAGAAATGAATTTCTGATGCATGAAGCAAAATGGATGAATCTCAGAAAAAATATGCTAAGTGAAAAAAGCCACAATCAAAAAGCTATAAACTCTATTATTTCATTTATATAATGTTCTGGAAAGAACGAAACTACAGAGACAAAGATCAGATCTTACATTTTAAATATCATTTTCCAATAGAAGGAACTAGGGTACCTTGGGGAAGTGGTGGAGTTCAGAACTGGGGCAGAGAAAATTCAAGATAAGCATGAAGTATCTTGTGGTGTCAGATAATCAGTAAGAAAAGGCAAAACAGAAACAAACCAAAAAATTAGAACACTCAATTATATTTGTTGCAAGCAGGATCCACCCTTAATGCTAAAATTGGCGAGCAAAAGTTCAAGGAGAAATAAGAGATTTGCATATTCTAAAAGATCTCCCCCAGGTTATTTATTAATTACTTAAGGAAAGATAATAACTTTCCAGTGGAGAAACCTGGCAGATAGCACCTTAACCAAGGGATCAAGGTAAAACTCGTCAGTACTAAGATACATCCACATCTTATACCTCCTGATACAATGCACATGGATTCTATGTTATTCTGGCCAAAACCACATAAATAAATCTGGTCAGGAGATAACATCAGACAACCCCAAACTAAGGGACGTTCGGCAAAATAACTGACCAGGACTCTTCAAAAGTATCTAGGTCATGGAAGACTGAGGAACTATCAGAGATCAGAGGAGATGAAGAAGACGTGATTACTAAATGTAATGTAGGCCCTGGGGGTTGGATTCCAGAACAGAAAAAGAACATTAGTGAAACAGCTGGGAAAATCCAAATAAATTCTTTAGTTAGTACTGTTGGAGCAACATTAATTTCTTGGCTTTGATAACTGCTGTGATTGTACAAGATGTCAATGGTAGAGAAGATACATGAATGATATGTATGAATTATCTCCTATATTTGTAACATTTTTACAAATATAATTAATTTGTTTACCCCAATGCCAGTTGGGGTAATGTCTAAAGTTATTTCAAAGAGTTAAAAAACACAGGTGCTTGGAGGAGTACAGAGAAGAGTATATATAAGAAGACAAGCATAAAATTGGTTATAATTTAAAGAAATAGCAAGCAAAAGAAGGTGTGTTTATGGAAACAATGAATGTTCAGAGAAGTAAGCAGAGAATCAAAAAAAGAGAACAGTGTCTTGCAAACCAAGAAAGCAGCATTGCTCATATTGTGTTCCTGTAGAGTATTCTCATGGTATAACTCCTTCAAATAGAGAAATGATTCCATGGTTATTCAATCTTCTTGAAATCAGCAGTACATAAAGTACAATGCCTGTAAATAGTTTGAGAAAGGCTTCTCTACTGACCTTTTTTTTAAAAAACAAATCGAATGGTTCCCAGAATTATTTAGCTATGAGTCCTTTTTTTTGTTTTTAAATAGCCTCTTGATATCAACTTTATGAAAGCAGTGTAAAGTTGGTGCCAGGTACACAAACACAATTCACAGCACATACTTGGCATTTATTTATTAAACAAGTATTTATTGTACACCTATTAATATCCTTGGACTTTGGGATCTGAAGAACGTACTTGGGCAAAGCTCTAACACACACAATGATGGGATAAGTATTGTGATTGGCGAGAGGATTGGCCTTGGGGAAAATAGAAGTAAATAACCCTGAGCATATGGGGGTTGAAAAATGAGGAGTAATTTCACTGTGGGCTGCTGGTAAGAAGAAAGGAGAGAGGATCTGGATTGGGAGTTAGTCCAGAAGGAAATGTTACAGTGGCCAGAACGTGTTTTTTATCCTGATTAATTCTACCTTCTGGTCCTCCAAGTTCCCATTTGGATTATAACACAAACATGTGGGCCTTCAATAAGAATGTTTTCTCATGGGATGGATCACAACCTGGTGTCTCCTTGTAACTTTCTGTTTGGAGAAAAATCAATAAATATCATTTCAAACTGCTAAAGAATGAATTTTTTTAAAAAATGGATGTGTTTGCCGTGATAAATTTCCCTGACATATTTATTATAATTACTTCTTGAAACATTTGTCAGGGAGGCATTGATGAGGACTGGACCGTTTTAGTCACTTAGGTGTATTCTCTAAATTGTTTTAGAAGAGAGAGTTTTTAATGCAGATTAATGAATTATCTATGCACGTCACCATAATGAAGCATAAAGATGACTTCTGGGCCCCTTTCTCACCTTGCCTGTGCAGACTGAGCTCTTCCACCAGCTCTGGACTGACCTCCTATTGCCTTCGTTTCACCAAGTTTCAGTCGGAGATGAGAAATAGCCCTGAAATTTGCTTCAATTCTTCACTAATCCGAGATCAAAATTCCCCAGGACTGCAAGGGAAGTTGTTATGCAGAGCAGTTGCAGCATTGGGCAGTAATATGTGATTAGCAATAGAAGATATTCTTGTGAGAGCTGCACTAACTTGCTTTTTATCTGGCTGGGCCCCGTAAGGAACAGCTGGTTGTGGTTCTTCTGTAGGAACAGGCACACTACTTACACTCTGTTCTCTTCTTTCCAGATCGGTCCATGTGAGAGATGTCAGGCATAGGAGAATAGTTTTCCCTGTGAAAGCTTTTCTGCTCATCTTAGGAGAGAGGGAGGGTAGATTGGCTCCCCCTTATTCTGCTGTCCTCATAGGAGTCACCCTTTATATTGATGAGATGGATGGTGATTGGTGATGGGAAACAATTTGAGGGTACCGTGAAAGATTGATAGCAGGGTTAGATTAACCACTCCTATGAACTTGCCTCAGAATCACAGTGTATCATTCCTTTATATAGAAAAAGATGACACTTGATGAAAATAAACGAATTCAGTCATCTTAAAGATATTTGAATGTTAGCTTAATTTATGAGATGTTGTTACTGTTTTTAATCAAGTCATAAAGCAGTAATTATTAACTATTTTAAATTTATAAACTTCTATCATAATCTGATAAAAGTTTTGGCCCTTTCGCCCAGAGAATACACACACACACACACACACACACACACACACACACACACACACACGCCTGACATTTAATATTGACTATTCAATCTACAAGGAACAATCAGGATCACTGTGGTAGACACCATGGTTTTCTCTTCAACATCTGTGCACTCATTTATGGGCATCATGCTGTTTGGGAGGGTTTAACCCCAGCCCCATCTTTTGGGGAGACCATGATTCCTCTCAGTTGATAATATCCTAATCACACCAAAGGGATCAGGTCTAGTTAAGCCAATCAGTCCTTGACAATCCCAATGTTATGGTTTAGGCATAGCCCAAAGATCTTAGATGACAGGACTTTTCCTCTCATCCTTCTGCTCTCTCTCCTTCTGTATATTGTGGTGGGCAGGTGGGAAGCCTAGAATAACAGAATCCATTTAGTTCCCATGAAGGAAGCGAACCGTGGCACTGTGAAGACAAAGCTGTCAACTAGAGGCAGGCAGAACCAAGAGCATCACAGAGAAAGAGAGCAGTGGCCTTGAACAAAACATGAAGGAATGCACTGGTGGGGTGAGACTTAAGCAGTTATGTGAGCTCAAACCCCCTTAGCGTGTGGGCCCTTTCTGTGTAGGTTGTGTTTTCTATTATTTTCAACAAAATAGTTCTAAATGATAGTTATTCAGTGCTGGCTTTTCAAGTACAGATGTGCTGGAGAAGGAGTGAGGAAAGAAGGGTAAGAAAAAAAGTGTTAATATCTCTCTAGGATGCTGTCCTGCCGGTATAAAAATGGAGCTGTTTATGTGTACCATTAGCGGTGTGAGTGTTTTCTCAAGAATGGAGATAGATTCACCTCTGGCCCTATGCATCTCTCCGCTCTGTGTTGTTACTAGTCTTACTCTATGGTTACCCAGGTTCCAGTCAAGGTCCATAGACATGGAACAGAGGAAAACCAACTGGACAAGAGAGCTGAGACCGCTGCAGCCTGGGTTCTTTAACGCCATGTGCGATACTTGTATAGACCACCACTCTGCTGCCTGGCTCTGAGGTAGTTGCTGAAATGCAGAATGTGGCCTGCAGGTGATGTGCTGAGAGTTAAGGGATGGTTTATCTTTACTTTGTGAAATTAAACTTCACTGAACAAGGAGAAGCAGGGAAACTGACGAGACCTTTACAAAGCCAGTGTAAAGTGTAGTATGCAGAGCATATTAGACATGTCCACAGACACAAAGCAAGAAATAGTGTGTATTAGTCTGTTCTCACGCTGCTATGAAGAAATACCCGAAACTGAGCAATTTATAAAGAAAAGAAGTTTAATTGACTCACAGTTCCACATGGCTGGGGAGGTCCCAGGAAACTTACAATTATGGCGGAAGACACCTCTTCCTTGGGCAGCAGGAGACAGAATGAGAGCAAGTAGGGGAAATATCAGACACTTACAAACATCAGATCTCATGAGCCTCACTCATTATCACAAGAACAGCCTGGGGGGAACCACACCCATAATTCAATTACCTCCACCTGGTCTCACCCTTGACACAATTATGGGGATTACAACTCAAGGTGAGATTTGGGTGGGGACACAGAGCCAAAGCATATCACAGTGTAAAGGTACATTCAGGTGTTTCTGACAGATAAGCTTTTTTTTTTTTTTTTTTTTTTTGCCATAGCCACCTGTAACTTTGGGCATGTCATAAAATCTATATTAGATGTAAAGATATGGAAGTTGAAAAATGTTTGTCACCTTTTACTACCCAAACCCTTTTAAAATGACAATTAAAACTTACATGTGCTGATGATCAGAGAGTAATTCATACAGTTATTTTGAAAACTGTCACTATTGACTAAAACTGAGTATGTCCATACCCTACCTTCCAGTAATTTCACTGCCAACTGCACACATAAGCACCAAGAGAAGTGGATAGAATATTCACAGCAACATTGTTATAAGAGCCCCAAGTTGGAAACAATGTTGATGTTTATCGAAGTAGACAGGACAAATGTACTGTAGTATTTTTCATACATTAGAATACTGCATAGCTACATGTGGCAACATGGTCATATTTACAAAGGGAAAGAATCCATAATGTGTGTGTTAGCCCCTAATGCTATACCTGGAACACAGTAGTTACCCTATACATCTTGGTTTGCCATTTAGCTTGGAATTTAAAAGAATATAAGATAATACAATTAGTGCTAAGTAAATTAAATGGAGCTTTCCATTTCTTGTTGTACATCTAACGTGGCATTTAAAATTAAAGTTCATCAACAAACATAATAAATGTGCAAGCAGCATTTTGCAAAGAACATTGCCCTCATGTAATCTATCCTGTTCTGCAAACCCTAATTCATCAATCTGAAAACAAAAATATGTATTTGCTATGCTTAGCATAAATTTAATTGTAGAAGATGGAGTTCTTGAATTTGGAATCACATGATAGTTAAAAAGATAAAGAATGTTATTTTTTAACTTTTAGTTTATTCAGCCTTGTCCATTAATATTTAGTTAGCATTATGCCTAGAATAATTTATATCATTGCAAAGAATTAAATTGTTTGAAAGGTAGACATTTGATAGTCCTGAATGTTTTAGTTCTTCTTGTTTTAGAAGAATCAGTTTTGGATGACATATTGTGATCAAATGGCTTAATTTCAGGTGAAGATATGGCTTATGACTTTCATTTTAAATCTTAAACACCTGCAGAGTTAAATTGCAGTGAAGCTCATAAAAATCGCCATCTGTAATTGATGGAACATTGGATTTTTAATGATATGCTGTAGGAGTCTGAAAAGATCTAGTGGTCCATTATTAATAGACCTCCCAAAAAAAGACTGGTGGGTTTTCTTCTTCATAAAGCTGAATTTTACGGGCAACAGACAGGTAGGGAATGGTATAAAGTGGATACAAATTTTTTCTTATTTGCAATATTTGAATAACACAATTTAAAGTAAGCTGTTACAATATCAGACCAAAATTGAAGACTGAATAAGCACCCTTAATTATTGCAAAATAACCTCTTTTGTAGCACTTAGCTAATTCCCAATTAACCAGGTTGCTGGGGCGAGAATGCAGTTATAACTACATTCAGTTTACAGGTAATCCATAAATCCAGCTAACAAATCCACAGTAATCAATAGTAGATTATAGTGTTTTCTTGTCATCCCTGTTGTTACTGTTTTTCTGCTTGTTCGTTTTTGATCTGTTGGTGATGCATGGTTGGGAACTGGAATGAACTTAGATCCTCAGGAGGGCAGGAGGGACACTTAGTAAGGAGGAAAGAGCTGGTTATCATGGACTGCCACAAACCCCAGTCTCTCACTACTTCTGTTTCTGCACGTTCTGCTCTGCTCCCTTTTTGTGTCCATTCTAGTGTAATTAGCATGTTATTTTGTCTATCGCTAGACTGTAAGCTCCATGAGTGCAGGGCTGTTTGTGTTGTTCACTGATACATCATAATTGTCCAGAACAGGGTCTGGCACAAGGGGATCCAACACACATTTGTTGACTGAATCAATTATACTCAATTTCAGTATTTTGTAGGGGTAATCTCATCCCCTAGCTCTCACCTTTTCTATTTGTTGATCTTTTTCAAGCATTTTCTAGGTCTACTCCATTTTTCATTTTTCCAAATTTACTATGCTATGTTTTTTAAAATTTGTAAAATATTTCCTCTTTAATTTTATGATGGTAGTGCCCCACAAATCAATTTTGAGTTCCCTCATTGGGAAATGGGTGCTATATATATATAAACTTTTTTTTCTGAGACAGTGTCTTGCTCTGTTGCCCAGGCTGGGCTGGAGTGCAGTGGTGCCACCTAAGGTCACTGTACCTTTGAATCCTGGTCTCAACCAATTGTAATCCTTCCACTTCAGCCACCCGAGTACCTGGGACTACTGGTGTGTGTGCTACCAAGCCTAGCTAAGTTTTCCTTTTTCCCTTTTTAGAGATGGGCTCTAGCTATGTTGCCCGGCCTGTCTTTTTATTTTTAAAACTGTTTTTTTTTTCCTATCTTCAGTCGAATAGTAGAACCTGATTGTTTTCTTCTAATGGAAATAAATAACAAATGTATAGGAGCCAAGTGTTTAAATATTTGTTATTTCAAATGTAATAGTTTATCTACTGCTTATGTTTGCTAAGACCAACATATTTTATCTGCTGGATATATTTGCTAGGACAGCATTGACTTTTGTGCATTTATTTTATAATTGGCCATGTACTGAGCTGACTTAGACCGTGACTAATAGGTTTTCAGATGGTTCTTTTGAGAGTTCTTGCTAGTCATTTACATCATTTTTATTTCTCTTTTACAATATGTATATTTCAATCTGCTTATATATTAACCCTTCTGTTGGTGGTTTTAATGACATCTGACTAGAAATACTAGTTAAAACATTAATGTAAGTAAATGAGGGATTGCATATCAAATATGACCACGTGGAAGCATGCAAATAACATAAATTCACAAAACAATACTTCAGGTGACAAGAACACTATAAAAATGTTCACATCCCTAGTAATTAAAATAATATACATTAAAATGGTATACTACTGGCCAGGCACAGTGGCTCACGCCTGTAATCCCAGCACTTTTGGAGGCCGAGGCGGGCGGATCACGAGGTCAGGAGATAGAGACCATCCTGGCTAACACGTGAAACCCCGTCTCTACTAAAAATACAAAAATTAGCCAGGCGTGGTGGCGCGCGCCTGTAGTCCCAGCTACTCGGGAGGCTGAGGCGGGAGAATGGCGTGAACCCGGGAGGCGGAGCTTGCAGTGAGCCGAGACCGCGCCACTGCACTCCAGCCTGGGCGACAGAGCGAGACTCCCTCTCAGAAAAAAAAAAAAAAAAAGATATACTACTATTTTGGCCCATCAGCTTGGGCAAATCATTCTTTTTATATCTATACTAATATTCTGGTCAGCATAAGAAACAAAGTCTCACTACTGGTCAGGGAAGTAAAAAAATGGCAAACATTCTAGAAATGAATTTAGCACTTTATGTAAAAAAACATAGGAAGGGGAAGATTTCCTTTTTTTTGTTTTTGTTTTTGTTTTTTAATATGGAGTCTCGCTCTGTCGCCCGGGCTGGAGTGCAGTGGCGCGATCTCGGCTCACTGCAAGCTCCGCCTCCCGGGTTCACGCCATTCTCCCGCCTCAGCCTCCCGAGTAGCTGGGACTACAGGTGCCCACGACCACGCCCGGCTAATTTTTTGTATTTTTAGTAGAGATGGGGTTTCACCGTGTTAGCCAGGATGATCTTGATCTCCTAACCTCGTGATCCACCCCCCTCGGCCTCCCAAAGTGCTGGGATTACAGGCATGAGCCACTGCGCCCGGCCACGGAAGATTTCCATTTTAAGAAATATGTCTTGAAAAAAGTAATTTGATAAATATTAAAATGCTTGTAAACAGATATTTATCATAATAAGAAAAAAAGGCAGCAATATAATATCTAAACCCTAACAGTCATTCTCCAGAGATGCTGTTCTTTGTACCTGCAATGTGGTTAAGAAAAGCATTTTATTTTTCTTTAATAATTATACATTAACATGTAAAAATCCCATCAGAGTCCCAGCACAGTGGCTTATGCCTAGCTGTAATCCCAGCACTTTGGTAGGCCAAGCAGGGAGGATTTCTTGAGGCCAGGAATTGAAGACCAGTCTGGGCAACATAGCGAGACCCCTGCCTCTACAAAAATAAAAAATAAAATTGTAGCCATGTGTGGTGGTACGCCCCTCTAGTCTAGCTACTTGGGAGGCTAAGGTGGGAGAATTGATTGAGTCCAGGAAGTTAAGGCTGTAGTGAGTCATGACTTCAGTCTCGGTGAGAACCTGTCTCTAAAACAATAAAAATAAAATAAGACAAAAAGAAAAGCTGGTTTACTGTGGTTTATGTAGGCATTGATTTTAATAGTGATTTACAATTTCTTTCTTTTTTTTTTTTTCCTGTTGTGTCTATCTTTCTGGAAGGATCTTAACTGAAAGGGTATTTCTTACGGGAACCTCTAGTGGACACCTTAGAAGGTAGAGCAGTTGAAGGAGAAATATATTATTCACACATTAATGGTTCGGGACTGGTCCTCATCAGACTGGCTAGACTCAAGGCAATAAATCATCTCTACCTTCATCAGATTTTCTTTTATAAAAGGAAAGAGAACTTCTAAGTTCTTCAAGACATGGAGAATATTTTCATAATATTCTAGGTTATTTGGTAGACATTAAATCTGAAAACCTCAATATAGTCAATGACTGTATTAAAGTTTGTAGACGGGTTTGGGAAAAAAAGATTTCTTTCTACATTTTGGGACACATCCAGCCATGTGTCAGAAAAGTCCCCAGAAGAATTTGTTTGAATCTGGAGGCACAGATCCACTGGCCTTCTGTAGCATTTGGTAAACTGTAGTCTGCTGCTGCCAACTGAATGACCTGTTCAAAATTAAGTAGTCTGTAGACTTTCTGAACAGTTACTCATACGTGCAAAAGTTTCACTGAAGAAAGAGTTGGATAAAAAGAATTCGATTAGCTCAGTGGCTCAAAAACTTATCAGTTTCATGGCCCACTTTATGCAATGCCACAATTCATTGGTTGACATTTTAACATAAAATAAAATTACACAATCGATGACATCTCACAGTCAACATTGGCTGGTGTGACACAGTTGTCATTGACTGTACATGTTTGTACCTAGTCAAAGGAGTTCATACTGCCATAACTTTAAGTGCAGTAGATTGTGGTAACTACATGTGTATGGGTCTCAACTCATATTAAAAATGTGTTCCTGGCAGAGTGCAGTGGCTCACACCTGTAATCTCATCATTTTGGGAGGCCAAGGTGGATGGATCACCTGAGGTCAGGAGTTCGAGACCAGCCTGACCAATATGGTGAAACCCTGTCTCTACTAAAAATGCAAAACATTAGCCGGGCATGGTGGTAGATGCCTGTAATCCCAGCTAGTCGGAAGGTTGAGGCAGGAGAATTGCTTGAACCCAGGAGGCAGAGGTTGGAGTGAGCTGAGATCGTGCCTCTGTACTCCAGCCTGGGCAACAAGAGCGAAACTCTGTCTCAAAAAAAAAAAAAAAAAAAGTATTCCTGTTTGTTACCTGAAAATCTTCCATGGACACCTCCAGTAAGACCAAGAAACTGCCAAAATTATTGCTGGCTCTTGGAAGAAAATCGAGGTGTCAGTAGTGGAGCAGCCTTTCAGAAATGCTGTATCACTAATGCTCTTGCTGGCTTGGAAGACGATGTTGTGTCCAGAATTTCAAGTGGTGATAAGGCATTGTGTCCTAATTTAATTGCAGTGTGTTTTTGTAAATGTTATAACATAAAATTTGTTGTGTCTCATAATCAATGTTATCTTAGATCCAATCCAATAAGAAACGTAATTTGTAATGTCCCCTTTATTATCCTTAAATAAAATTTACGGATAATAAAGCTACCTACATACATAATTTTCAAGAATCAATGTAATTGTCTATCTACAATATGACAGATAAATAAAAATATATCAGTATTTATTCATTATGAAAATGACTTTGCACAACCATACCTGAATACCTAATGAGGTAGTCAGATGTTTTTATCTACCTATGGCAAATAACACTGGATATATGAGAAATAAGACAATCAGAAGCTATTCTTAAACAAGAAGCATTTGAATATAAAATGTACAGGCACAGCTGGATGCTAGACTACAAAGTAATGGTATAATGAATAATAAGTGAGAAGCTTTTGTATTGATGAGAGAAAGAAGAAAATCACCTTAATTAACAGAGATATCACATCTTAGAAAATTATAAAGTTTTGAAGTAGAAATAATGAGGAAGTGTTTTCATACTGGAACTGGGACTTTTACCACTGTATTGTCAACATAATTGCCTTTGTTATGACATGGAATGAGGTAGTGACAACTATCATTAAAAATGTTTACTTTTAAAAGGACTGGTGTACATTCATTTCTCTACAACTTAGGGAAGATCTTAGAGACAATATATAATCTTCTTCAAAGGTCAACTGGATCTATGGTAAAATACAGGAGCATCTAGAGAATTTGAGTTGACTTCTAGGGATATTATCCGAGTCGGATGGAAAAAATTAGTTAACTACAAAATGAATAAATAATTTAAGTAACTAATTTTTATGAACTAAAAATAAGTTAACTACAAAATGAATAATTTCAGTAACTAACTTTTATAAATTTCAGTAACTATTTTTTATAAAATAAATGAGGTAGTAAAAACTATGACTATACGTTTACTCTTAAAAGTCCGGGTGTGCTTTCAGTTCTCTACAACTTAAAAAGATCTTAGAGACAATATATAATCTTCTTCAAAGGTCAACTGAAACTATGTTAAAATATAGGAGCATCTAGAGAATTTGTGTTGACCTCTAGGGATATTATCCAAGTAGGATGGGAAAAATAAATTAACTACAAAATGAACAAATAATTTCAGTAACTAATTTTTATAAAATAAATTTCTGTAATTGTGCTATACAATTATTAAAAAGTATAAACCGGCAATTATATGAAATGTTTTTAAAAGCATCTTTATTATTGAATTCAATAAGATCCCCGAGTTTCCTGTGGCTCCATTAGTTTAATTGTATTTGGCTTTAAGTCTCCTAAGAGAAGACTTCATAAAGTTTGTTGAAAACTTCAGTAAACATTAGGTTAGCAAATATTGAATGCCTAAAACTTGCTCTTTCTGTTGTAAAATGTTTCTGTTGATACTGACATTAGTCCTTCCTGGAGCCTCATAATCGTGATTTGATGATATACATGAAACAACCGGAGAGGTATTCAAAAGAATGTAAAGTATGTGAACAAAAGAATATTGAAAACATGATCTGTCATGTCCATTTTTGTAAAAGACAGAAGAGTGACTTATTTCTCCTGATAGTGTTATAAAGCTCAGCTGTAATCAGTTAATTAGAGGAAGGCTTTTTGAAGGAAGATGGAGAAGGAAATGGCGGAAGAGTATTTTGGAATCTTAAAGGGCTTTCATAACAAAGGTGTCTGGTGAACAAATCCTTGAGTTCATTTCTACGGAGCAACTAGTCATTTTGGAAGACCCAAGGAAATAAAAAAAGGCCTCAAGAAATTGAAAAAGAGAAATCATGTGGTTTGACTTTTCATGATATAGTGGAATGCAGTTCTGTTCATTATTATAGACAACATTTTATTCATCTTTGTGCCAAGTTAATTTGTTATAAAAGGCTCAGAAATACTTTGGGAAATTATATGTGTTTTTTTGCCATGTATTTTTGTTGGGGTTTCATTGATACTCTTAACGTAGTATACTAATTAGAAGTTAGAAAAGACTGACTACGTCTATATTATGTTATTCGTGTTCCACCTGAGAGCGTTCCATGCAATGTCACTGTCACTTTGTTTTATGGCAAAGGGACTTAATCTTATAGGTAGATTTTGCAGTGCAGTGCACAAACCCATACCTATTCACATCTCCAGGAAGCTCTGAGTTTGAAAACTGATTTTCTTTTCTTTCCCTTCCTTCCTTCCTTTCTTTCTTTTTTTTTTTTTTTTTTTTGTTCAGATGGAGTCTCACTGTTTCCCAGGCTGGAGTGCAATGGCAGGATCTTGGCTCACTGCAACCTCCGCTTCCCAGGTGGTTCAAGCTATTCTCCTGCCTCAGCCTCCTGTATAGCTAGGATTACAGGTGCCCACCACCACATCCAGCTAATTTTGCATTTTAGTAGAGACCCGGTTTCACCATGTTGGTCAGACTGGTCTCAAACTCCTGACCTCAGGTGATCCACCCACCTTGGCCTCCCAAGGTGCTGGGATTACAGGCATGAGCCACTTTGTCCAGCTAAAAACTGATTTTCAATGCTATATATAATAATTTGGTTCTTATAAGAGCAGACAGAAGCCTACTTAGTCCTATAATATAACTGAAATTAAGACAGAGGTCATGAAGAAGCTGTGAATACGAATGAGAGGGAGACAAGGCTATTTCTGTGTAGACATTATTTGTACCAAGTGATTTTAAGGTGGGGAACATGTGTATCTCCAGTCTGAATGGCAGACTGAGGATCTGTTTACCAGGAAAATTCTGGGTTTGCCCACGTGCTCTCCACAAAGAGTGCTGTTCAAGGAGTCTTTCCCCAGAGAGAAATCTATTATCTTGTCTTTTGTGATAATGATTTCCCTAATATTTTTATGGTACACACAGACACATGCACATACTACTCTTATTTATAAACTTTAAATTGCTAGAATCATACTTTATTTATTCTTTCATTATTTGTTTCTTTCACACTACAGTAACTTTGTGAGATGTTCCTATGCTAATGTTCACTGTTGTTCCACATCCTCTTCATTTCCATTTCCATATGAATTTTAGAATCACCTCATCAATTTCTACAAAAATATCTTCTAGGACTTAGATGGGAATTAGGTTGAATCTACTGATCAATTTGGGAGAGAATCAACATCTTAACAATAATAAGTATTCTGACCCAGTAACATTATTTAGTTGTTTAGTTTCAGCAATATTTTGACTGGAAGACTTTGTGTAGAATTGGTAATATTTATTTCTTAAGTGCTTAGGGAAATTCACCATTGAAGCCATTTGGGCCTGTAGTTTTCTTTGTGAAAAGGCTTTTTTAGCAACAAATTCAATTTCTCTAATAGATGTAAGGCTACTCAAATATACATTTCTTATTGAGTGAATTTTGTCAGTGTTTGTCTTTCAACAAATTTGTCCACTTTGTTGAAACTGTTGAATTTTGTCACAGACTTGTTCTTAAAGTTGTTCTTTTTTTTTTTTTTCAGAGCAGGATTGGAAGTTTATTTTAAAAGGCTTTAGAACAGGACAAAAAGAAAAGCACTGATATGGTCTGGCTGTGTCCCCACCCAAATCTCAACTTGAATTGTATCTCCCAGAAGTCCCATGTGTTGTGGGAGGGACCCAGGGGGAGGTAACTGAATCATGGGGGCCAGTCTTTCCCATGCTATTCTTATGATAATGAATAAGTCTCACAAGATCTGATGGGTTTATCAGGGGTTTCTGCTTTTGCTTCTTCCTCATTTTCTCTTGCCACCACCATGTAAGAAGTGACTTTCACCTCCCACCATGATTCTGAGGCCTCCCGCCAGCCATGTGAAACAATAAGTCCAGTTAAACTTCTTTTTCTTCCTAGTCTTAGGTGTGTCTTTATCAGCAGCATGAAAACAAACTAATGCAGTAAATTCATACCAGTACATTGGGGCATTGCTGAAAAGATACCTGAAAATGTGGAAGTGACATTGGAACTGGTTAAGAGGCAGAGGTTGGAACAGTTTGGAGGGCTCAGAAGAAGACAGGAAAATGTGGGAAAGTTTGCAGCTTCCTAGAGACTTGCTGAATGGCTTTGACCAAAAGCCTGATAGCAATATGGACAATAAGGTTCTAGCTGAGGTGGTCTCAGATGGTGATGAGGAACTTGTTGGGAACTGGAGCAAAGGTGACTCTTGTTGTGTTTTAGCAAAGAGACTGGTGGCATTTTGCCCCTGCCCTAGGGATTTGTGGAACTTTGAACTTGAGAGAGATGATTTAGGGTATCTGGCAGAAGAAATTTCTAAGCAGCAAAACATTCAAGAGGTAACTTGGGTGCTGTTAAAGACATTCAGTTTTATAAGGGAAGCAGAGCATAAAAGTTCAGAAAATTTGCAGCCCGACAACGTGATAGAAAAGAAACACCTATTTTCTGCAAGCTGGCTGCAGAAATGTGCATAAGTAATGAGGAACCAAATGTTAATCCCCAGGACAATGGGGAAAATGTCTCCAGGGCACATCAGAGGTCTTCATGGTAGCCCCTCTCATCACAGGTCCAGAGGCCTAGAAGAAAATGGTTTCCTGGGCCACTTCCTCCCATCACAGGCCCAGAGACCTAGAAGAAAAGGGTCCCTGTACTGTGTGCAGCCTAGGGACTTGGTACCCTGTGTCCCAGTTACTCCAGCCATGGCTGAAAGGGGCCAATGTAGAACTCAGGCTGTAGCCTCAGAAGGTGTAAGCCCCAAGCCTTGGCAGCTTCCACATGGTGTTGAGCCGGCAAATGCACAATAGTCAAGAACTTGTGTTTGGGAACCTCCACCTAGATTTCAGAACATGTATGGAAATGCCTGGATGCCCAGACAGAAGTTTGCTGCAGGAGCAGGGCACTCATGTAGAACCTCTGCTAGGGCAGTGCAGAGGGAAATGTGGGATCGGAGCCCCCACACAGAGTCCCTACTAGGGCACCACCCAGTAGAGCTGTGAGAAGAGGGCCACTGTCCTCCAGACCCTAGAATGGTAGATCCACCAACAGCTTGCACCGTTCACCTGGAAAAGCTGCAGACACTCAGTGCCAGCCTGTGAAAGCAGCTGGGATGGAGGCTGTACCCTGCCAAGCGACAGGAGTGGAGCTGCCCAAGACCATGGGAACCCACCTCTTGCATCAGCGTGACCTGGATGTGAGACAGGGAGTCAAAAGAGATCATTTTGGAGCCCTAAAATTTGACTGCCCTTCTGGATTTCAGACTTGCATGGGCCCTGTAACCACTTTCTTTTGGCCAATTTCTCCCATTTGGAACAGCTATATTTACCCAATACTGGTACCTCCATTGTATCTAGGAAGTAACTAGCTTACTTTTGATTTTATAGGCTTACAGGCAGTAGGGACTTGCCTTGTCTCAGATGAGACTTTGGACTGTGGACTTTTGGGTTAATACCGAAATGAATTAAGACTTTGGGGGACTGTTGGGAAGGCATGATTGGTTTTGATATGTGAGGACATGAGATTTGAAAGGGCCAGGGATGGAATGATATGGTTCGGCTCTGTCCCTACCCAAATCTCAACTTGAATTGTATCTCTCAGAATTTCCATATGTTGTAGGAGGGACCCAGGAGGAGGTAATTAAATCATGGGGACTGGTGTTTCCCATGCTATTCTCGTAATAGTGAATAAGTCTTGTGAGATCTGATGTGTTTATCAGGGGTTTCCACGTTTGCTTCTTCCTCATTTTCTCTCGCCGCCATCACGTAAGAAGTGCCTTTCACCTCCTGCCATGATTCTGAGGCCTCCCCAGCTATGTGGAACTATAAGTCCAATTAAACCTCCTTTTCTTCCTAGTCTTGGGTATGTCTTTATCAGCAGTGTGAAAATGGACTAATACAAGTACATTTGGAAGAGACTCAAGCAGGCACATGAAGGTCAGGTGCCCTTAAAATTTTCTTAATAGTCTCTTATTACCCTTTTAATAGTTATAGAATCTGGCCGGTGCAGTGGCTTACGCCTGTAATCCTAGCACTTTAGGAGGCCGAGGTGGGCGGATCACGAGGTCAGGAGATCGAGACCATCCTGGCCAACATGGTGCAACCCCGTCTCTACTAAAATACAAAAAATTAGCTAGGTGTGGTGGCGCATGACTTTAGTCCCAGCTACTCAGAAGGCTGAGGCAGGGGAACTGCTTGAATCCAGGAGGTGGAGGTTGCAGTGAGCCGGGATTGCGCCACTGCACTGCAGCCTGGCAACAGAGTGAGACTATCTCAAAAGAAAGAAAGAAAGAATAGAATCTATAGTGATGCCACCTCTTTTATTTTTAATATTTGTAAGCTGTGTCTTACCTATTTTCTCTGCTTAGTTTGGTTAGAACTTTATTAATTTTATGGATCTTCTCAAAGAACTAGCTTTTGGTTTTATTTATTTTCTCCATTATTTTCCTAATTTCTAGTTTATTAATTTCCACCCTGAACTTTTATTTCCTTTCTTCTACTTCCTTTGATCTTAATTTGCTTTTCTTTTTCTAGTTTCTTAAGATGGAAACCAAAATGTTGATTTGAAACCTGTGCTCTATTCTAATGTAGACATTTAATAAATTTCCTTCTAAAAATTGCTGTAAAAGACTCCCTCAAAATTAACGTGGTATGATTTTATTCTCATTCCCTTGAAAATTCTTTATAGTTTTTAAATTTCTTCTTTGATTGCATTTTTTGTTTCTTCTTTGAAATACAGATTATTTAAAGGGGTATAATTTGGTTTCCAAATATTTGGATATATTCCAGCGATCTTGCTGTTATAAATTTTTAATTTATTTTCATTACAGTCATATCACATACATCCCATGACTTTAACCCTTTTAAATTTATTGAGACTTGTTTCATGGCCCAGAATTGGGTCTACTGTGGCGAGTGATCCATGCACACCTGAGAAGGATGTGTGCTCTCCTGCTGTTGGCTGGAGTTCTCTGTGATAAAAAGTCGGTCAGGTTTGTTGATCCTATTGTTCTAGTGTTCTACATCCCTGTTTACTTATTCTATCCATTATTGAGAGAGAGGTATGACAGTCTATAGCTATAATGATAGATTTTTCCATTTCTCTTTGCAGATCTATCGGTTTTTGTTTCATGTAGTTTGAAGCTCTGCTATTAAGTGCATAAACATTTAGGGTTATTATATTCTCTTGAGGGATTGACACCTATATCATTGTGAAATGATCCCTGTATCCCTGGTAATAGTATATGCTCTGAAATCTACTTTATCTGATATTAACGTGCTCCTCTGGCTCTTTTATGACCCATATTAATGTGATGTTTGGTGAATGATTTGATTTGCCCAAATCAAAGCCTGGTGTTTGTCTCCAGCTCCTGGAAGTGAACCTTTAAACCCTTGAAATGTCTTGAGTGATAGGAGTGTCTTTGTTATTTACGGTGGGTCCCTGGGACTATGCCTAGTATTTTATGCTAAAAATATAATTTGTGCTAAAAATATAACACGTGGCACAAAGGCCACATGTTACCAACCTGATCTCTGGGGATGGGTGGCCTAGAGACTGAGTTCAATGGGCCAGCAATGAAACAATCAATCATACCTACATAATGCAGCCACAGTAAAATCTCTGGTCAGCTTCCTAAGTTGGCAGTACTCCGTGTATATCATCACATGTGGATTCCAGGAGGGTAAAATACCCAGGAGCCCTGTGTGTTTCCTCAACCTGAGTGTGGACTGGGTTTAGTGACTTGCTTCTAGCAGAGAGAACATGGCAGAGTTGAAGAGATGCCACCTTCAAAACTGGGTTACAAGAACACTATGGCTTGTTTTGCCTCTTTCTTTTTCTCACTCATTCTGAGGGAAGCCGGCTGCCATGTTGCAAGCTGCCCTGTGGAGGGGCCCACATGACAAGGAACAATGTGTATGACACCAACTGCCAAGGGCCTGGGATCTGCCGTCAGTCACATGAGGGAACTTGAAAGTGGATCATTCCCATTTAGCTCTGAGATGACTGCATCTCTGGCTGACACTTTCATCACAGGCTTTCAAGAGACTCTGAGCCACAGGATAAAACTAAACCACACCTCGATTCTTGGCCCACAAAAGCTATGGGATGTGTTAAGCTACTGAATTTGGGGGTAATTTGTTATACAATAAGAACTACCTAACAACCAGATGTAAAAAATGAAGGAAGAAGAGAAGAAGAAAACGGGGAAAGTAAAGAGGGGAGGAGGAAAGGAGAAAAGGAAGGAGAGTGTGGAGAAGGAGGAGGAATAAGATATTATATTAATTAAGCCTTAAGCTCAATGATGCAAAAGTTCTGACTCAGACTGGACTAAAACAAGAAAGTTCATAATTTACTATAGAAGGAAGTCAAAAATAGGAAGAATAATAAGCTCATATGATTCAATGACTTAATTGTGTCTTTCTATTTCAATATTGGCTTCATCCTCAGCCTTCTAGCAAGCTGACTCAGCCTGAATTTCCAGTGTGTTAGCTTGGGTTGCTGTAACCAACTACCACAGACTGGTGGCTTCAACAGCATTCATTTTTTTCCCACAGTTCTGGAAGCTGGAAAACCCAAGATCAAGGTGCCAGCAGATAAGCTTCTTGCTGAATTCTTTCTTCCTGGCTTATAGGCGGCCACCTCATGTGTATCCTCATAAGGTAGAGAGAGGGAGCTCTGGTGTCCCTCCATCTTCTTCTTCTTTTTTTTTTTTTTTTTCCTTTTGAAATGGAGTCTCACTCTGTTGCCCAGGCTGGAGCACGGTGGCGAGATCTTGGCTCACTACAAGCTCTGCCTTCTGGGTTCATGCCATTCTCCTGCCTCAGCCTCCCAAGTAGCTGTAACTACAGGTGCCTGTCACCATGCCCAGCTAACTTTTTTTGTATTTTTGGTAGAGATGGGGTTTCACCATGTTAGCCAGGATGGTCTTGATCTCCTGACCTCCTGATGTGCCCACCTCGGCCTCCCAAAGTGCTGGGATTACAGGTGTGAGCCACCGTGCCCAGCCCCCTCCATCTTCTTAGAAGGGCACTAATCCCATCATGGGAGCCCCATCTTCATGACCTCGTCTATACCTAATTAATTCCCAAAGGACCCACTTCCCAATGCATTGAAGGTTAGGGATTCAATATATAAATTTTAGGCAGGTTTCGGGGATGCAGAAATTCAGCCGATAGCATCCAACAGCTAGACAAAGAAGAGATGTTGGTTCTTTGGCTTTCCCTAGAAGGAAGAAATGTCTTCTACCATCCCCCAGCTGATTTTCTTTCTTGTCCCACTGCCCGGTCCTCAGGCACATGCCAGCGGCAATCACAGGCAAAGGCTCTGAGATTCATTCAACCTACTTGGGGCTGGAGATGGGGCCTCTTCCACTGAGGCCCTTGGCTACGAGGGGATGTGGAGGACGCCTAAGTAAAATTGTGTTCCTTAAGGCAGCAGTCCCCAACTTTTTTGGCACCAGGGACTGGTTTTATTGAAGATAATTGTTCCATGGACCAGACTGGTATGGAGTGGCAGGTGATGGGTTTGGGATGATTCAAGTGCATTACACTTACTGTGCACTTGATCTCTATTATTATTACATTGTAATATAAAATGAAAGAATTATACAACTCACCATAATGTAGAATCAGTGGGAGCCCTGAGCTGGTTTTCCTGCAATTAGACAGTTCCACTGGGGGGTGATGGAAGACAACAGATCTTCAGGTATTAGATTCTCATAAGGATCAGGTATTAGATTCTCATAAGGAGTGCACAGACTAGATCCCTTACACAGGCAGTTCACAATAGAGTTCCAGCTCCTATGAGAATCTAATGCCGCTGCTGATCTGACAGGAGGCAGAGCTCCAGCAGTAATGTGAGCAATGGGGAGTGGCTATAAATACAGATGAAGCTTTGCTTGCTTGGCCACCCCTCACCTCCTCTAGGAGGTGTGCAGCCCTAGACAAGGCCATGGACTGGTACTGGGGGTCAAGGACCCCTGCTTTAGGGCATGAAACAGACTGATAGCTACTGGTAGCTGCCAACGGTATGAATGAAGATGTTCAATTCTTCTACAGAAAAATTCTTCACCTTCACAATTGATGGAATGTAGTAGAAATTTCTGTTTGACTCTTCCATGGTATATTTCAGACTCACTGATTTATCTAAATATATATATTTTTTATGGAACTCGTCAGCTATACCCATCTTCAATCTTATAAGCAAAGAAATAAATTCTAAAGAATTTGTATGATGAAGACATATTTTTGAGCTGAGTGGCTCCTAATCGCCCATTTTTCCTTGAGGGAGCATTTATTGAGTGTTTGTTGTATGCTGGCAGTGGATTCCAGACTGAACAAAGCAGACACTGCCCCTGCTCCCGGAGAGCTTGCACCGCCTCCATGCACACACCATCCTGCTCTACTGCAGCTGTCCTGATCACCTAAGAAGTGATCATCAGATTCTAAGTTGTATAGCCCATAACATTTCCTCATTAATTCATTGAAGTTTAAACTTCTCATCCATGTGTGTAGCAAGCTTAGTTCTGCAAAAATGTTTGAAATTTGCCACTTCCTCTAAAAAAGATATTTTCTTCTGTGATCATTAATTATAATAAAATGTGTTTACACTCTTGAGACTGAATTAACTGTCGCATTCTATTATCCCAATATTTATGCATTTGTAATTTAGATAAGAATTATTAATACAATTTTACCATGGGCTGTAGGAAATAGATCAAAAGTGACAGTAACAAGGCATATTATAAGAACCCTAAAATATTCCTTTTTAGACAAAAAATAGCATATCTGGCAGAGATGCACAGAAAGGGGAATGCTAGTACACTTCTGGTGGGAAGGTAAATTAGTACAGCACAGCCACAGTGAACAACAGTATGGAGGGTTCTCAAAAACTAAAAATAGATCTGTCATATGATCCTGTAATCCCACTGCTGGGAATATATCCAAAACAAAAGAAATTGGTATGTCAAAGAGATATCTGCACACCCATTTTATTGCAGCACTCTTCTCAATAGTCAAGATATGGCATCAACCTAAGTGTCCATTAACAAATGAATGGATAGAGAAATACCATATATATATATATATACACAGTGGAATACTAGTCAGCCATAAAATACAATAAAATCCTGTCATTTGCAGCAACACGCATGGAACTATAGGTTGTCATGTTAGTTGAAATAAACCGGGCACAAAAAGACAAATATTGTATGATCTCACTCATATTTAGGAGCTAAAAAAGTTGATTTCATGAAGGCAAAGAGTAGAATATTGGTTACAGAGGCTGGGAAAGGTGTTGAGGGGACATGAAGAGAGGTTGCTTAATGGGTGCAAAAATACGATGAGATGAGGGACTACATTCTAATGTTCAACAGCACAGTGACTACAGTTAACAAAACTTTTTTTTTTTTAATGGAATCTAACTCTGTTGCCCAGGCTGGAGTGTAGCGGCACCATCTTGGCTCACTGCAACCTCTGCCTCCCAGGTTCAAGCCACTCTCCTGCCTCAGCCTCCCAACTAGCTGAGACTACAGGCATGCACCACCGTGCCAGGCTAATTTTTGTATTTTTAGTAGAGACGGGGTTTCGCCATGTTGGCCAGGCTGGTCTTGAACTCCTGACCTCAAGTGATCTACCCTCCTCGGCCTCCCAAAGTGCTGGGATTACAGGCATGAGCCACAGCACCCAGCCCAGTTAACGAAACTTTATTATATATTTCAAAATAGCTGGAAGAAATGATTTGAAGTATCCCCAACACAAAGAAATGGTGTATGTTTGAGGTGATGGATGTCCTAATTACCCTGATTTGATCATTACACGTTGCATGCAAGTATCAAAACATCACATGTACTTCAAGAATATATACAATTACATATCAATTTTTAAAATTATTTTCTATTGCTTAGTTTAAGCTGTTTGTAGAGCTTATGTATAAACTGCAGCAAATGCAGAAAGTCAATCAGTGGCCAATGGCACAGAACAGGCAGCACATTTCGGAATTTCAAAGCCCTGTGTGCGCTTATCTAATCACCTTAATATTTGGGTGCATCACACAATTTTTTAGACAATGTTCTAGTTTCTAATTATAAAAATCATGTGTGTTTCAGTTTTCACAGTTTCAACACCAAAGAAATGTATCTAGCACTCATGAGAAGGAATCAAGGAAGTCAATTTTGGAAAGTCAAAAATGACCATCCATCCTCACAACGCAGGGCATAAATTCTATGTCAGGTCTCCTTGCACATGCTCCACGTTCCTCATTACCCTATGGGTTCTTTCAAACCTCACCAGTCCTCGACCTGTGCCTTAAAGACAGCAGGTGTACAGAGGTAGAGGGAGAGCAGGAATGGACTCTGGGTCACTGGTCAAGCTGCCCAGCTGTGCACTGCACAAGAGGGAAATCCTCAGAGTAGATTGTGTGGATGATGGCAGGAAAGGGGGCCACTCCAGCTGCTCTGCTGGGAGACACTGTTGAGAGCCACACAGACCCCTAAGCTATTAAGTGGCAACAGAGGAGCCTCAGAGCCTATTTGTGGTGGGAGAAGAAAGAAAAAAGAAATTGCAAGATGGCTCAAGGCAATTGCTAAACTTTTTTGGAGGACGTGGAAAACTGTGGAACTTCTCCCCAAGAAAGTACATAAACAAAAAGTCCTGCATTAAAATTCAGAGAGCCCTTGAGGCAGCTCTTGTTCTCAGACTGGCCATGGTTCATTAAAAGTTAACTGGACTCTTCTTCTCCAATACTGATTTCTCTGTTTCTAAATTTCTCACATATCTAGCACATCACTTTGTTTACAGAAAATAATTCTGCTAGGAAGTCAGGGCAAATATTGATCTCCTCATGTCTCAAACAGAGGGGAAAATTCACAGAAGCAAACTTTGGAAAGTCAAAATGAAAAGTGTAAGTGACTTGCTTGAGATCAGATGGTTGTGTGGTGGCAATACCGAGATGTTGAATTGCATTGAGCTGGAACTCAGAAAGTTTCGGTCAGGAGCAGGCACACCATGGTGCCAAATTAGCTTGGCTTTCGGAGTGCGGCACACCTAAATTTAAATGCCATTTCTGCACGTTGCCTAAGCCACCAGAAACTTTGTTTCCTTACCTCTGACAAGGGAATAACAATCCGCCACAGAGGGGGCCCCAGGAGGGTTAAATGAGGTGAAAAGAAATAATAGCTCAATTCCAAAACCAGCGCTCACCTGTGCCTACTGGTGGGGAATTCTCCCTATAACGAGTCACCTGGAGCTTTATTTAAGGGGCCTTCCTTGTTGAAATACTGAAATGTTACTAAGACCTTCACACAGTAATATTTCCAAATGAGAATTCTGTCTGTATTCCAGAAATTTGAGAGATGATAAAAAAGAAGAAACAAACAAAATATTGGCTGATTTCTGAAATGAGCTCATCTCCTGGCCTGAAGTATGACATCTGATTACCCCTCTTCCAGCACAAGTTATTACACTCCTTTACTCAATTATTGATGTTGTAAAATGCACTCGAATTTTATCTCTGTGATGCTGCTGCCTCCAATTCCCTTGCCTATTCGGGAAATGCATAAGGAAATAAAATTATAATTCTTACTTCTGAAGAAAAACCTATGTTTTGAAGTTTGAAACTTGTGTCACTCATTGAAAAAGAAGCCCCCTATTTTTATTCTAAAGAACTTGGAAAGAAGCATGTTTAATGTGTCAGGGACTCCCACTGGCTCTACTTTGAGGACACACCGAGGATCTGACCACTTTTCATCACTGTGGTGGTCTTGTCCGGCTGAAACACCCTCACCCCAATCACTGCACAGCCTTGGAACTGGTCTGCTTCCTTCCTCGACCCTCTGATATGCTCAGCCCGGCAGGCAGGCAGGGTGGTCCTAGAAAAACATGCTTCAGATTCACTGCTGCTGGGTTCCACGTCTGTGAGAGCATGGTCTCTCATGCAGAGTAGACCTGGCCCAACAACAGCTCACAAGGCCCTGGTAACCAGCGTGCCCGCATCTCTCCCCTTCTCCACACTGGCTTGGTCAAGACACGTGGGCGTCCCAATGTTCTTCTATGATGCCAGCATACCCTAGCCTGGGATATTTATCCACTTGTCCCTGGCATACGCAAACAGTGATGGTTAACTTAATGTGTCAACCTGAGTGGGATACAGGATGCCCAGATTCAACATTATTTTGGGGTGTGTGTGTGAAGGCATTTCTAGATGGGATTAGCATTTGAATTCGTGGACTCAGTAAAGCAGAGAGCCTTCCCCAATCCATTGGGGCATCTTTCAGTCCATGGAGGCGGACTCAAATAGAACAAAAGGCAGAGGAAAGAATTCACCCCTTTCTGCCCCTGCCCACCTGCCTGAACGGGGATGCTCCACGTCATCTTCTCTGGCCCTTGGACTCGGATTCACGCCACTGTCTCCTTGGTTCTCAAGTCTTGGGACTCATACTGAATTATACCACTGGCTTTCCTGCCTCTTCAGTCTGCAGATGGCAGATTCTGGGACTTCTCAGCCTCCTAATCATGTGATTATTCCTCATAATAAATCTCCATATATATATGTATTATATATGTAAAGATATAGATATCTCTTAGATATACAATATGTAAAATCTCCTTTTATATAAATTATATATAAACTTACATATATGGATATATACACAAACAGATAAGTATATATATGTATATATACAAACAGATAAGTGTGTATGTGTATACACACACACACACACACATACACACATATATATATATACACACACACACAAGGATATATGTACCTCTCCTATTGGTTTTGTTTCTTTGAAGGACCCTAATACACAAACTCTTTATCCAGATATCTGTACTCCTTACTCCCCAGGAATTTCAAGTCTTTGCTCAAATGTTAACTTTTCAAGGAGGTCCTCCCTGTCCACCCTCTATCTGAAATTGCACTATAATCCCTAGTACTTTTTTTTCTTTTTTTTGAGACTGAGTCTCACTCTGTTGCTCAGGCTGGAGTGCAGTGGTGTGATCTCGACCTGCTGCAACCTCCGCCTCCCTATTTCAAGAAATTCTCCTGCCTCAGCCTCCCGAGTAGCTGGAATTACAGGTGTGCACCACCACACCCAGCTAATTTGTTTGTATTTTTAGTAGAGATGAGGTTTCACCATGTTGGCCAGACTGGTCTCGAACTCCTGACCTCAGGTGATCCACCTGCCTTGGCCTCTCAAAGTGCTGAGATTACAGGCATGAGCCACAGTGCCCCACCCACTAGTACTTCTGATGTCTAGCTTGCTCTACTCGTGGTACCGTCATTCATCAATTTTAGTGTAGAGATAATTTTCTATATTTTAATATCTCTAGGATGGATCTTTACAATCCCTATTGTCAGGGAAAGGTGATGATATTGTTGCCATTGCTTGTAGATATACATCAAAACCTGTAGCATGGATGTCAGAGGCTTATGAGAAAAATATTAGGATGGTGCAAAAGTAATTGAGGTTTTTGCCATTTAAAAACTTACGGCTGGACCCATTGGCTCATGCCTGTAATCCCAGCACTTTGGGAGACCGAGGTGGGCGAATCACAAGGTCAAGAGTTCGAGACCAGCCTGGCCAACATGGTGAAATCCCCTCTTTACTAAAATTAGCTGGGCGTAGTGGTGGGTGCCTGTAATCCCAGCTACTCAGGAGGCTGAGGCAGGAGAATTGCTTGAACCCTGGAGGCAGAGGTTGCAGTGAGCCGAGATTGCACCATTGCACTCCAGCCTGGGCAACAGAGCGAGACTTCATCTCAAAAAAAAAATTACTTTTGCACCAACCTATTAATTAAGCACTGTTAATGACATCAATCCTGACATTGTACTGGGAAAAAAATGATCTTGACTCTATTGGTGTTGAAATGTGATTCAGAAGAGCCAACCCTGGATGTGAAGACATTTCAGGAATGCAGAAACAAGTTTATTTCATTTGTATTTTCCTTTCAGCTTATTAACAAAATTGATATGTGGCAAAAATCATCAGTAGATACAAAGGGTTATTTTAATGAAATAAGGACTTAAGTAAAAATTAATGTTTCAAATTTTAAGTGCCAAAATGTTGTTTCTTTCTTGTTGGTGTAGGAAGCAATCGTCTTTATTACAGTCAATGACATTTTAGACTTGATAAAATATAGTATATGACTGATGTATTTTGTTGTTTATAACCTGTTGACTTTGTTATTGTTAGTCCAAGGGCCCCGCAGAGAGTAAGCCTCAGGAAATAATAGCAGTTGTTGTTGTTGGAACACTCTTAGAATGCATCCAAGTCACACGTCCCAAGGAAGGTAATCCTTGGGTTAAGTTTTGAAAGAGTGGCAACGTTTGTTTAAAATACTTTCCTCCCAAGTCTTTACTATTGTGAGTAGTGCTGCAATAAACATACATGTGCATGCGTCTTTATAGCAGCATGATTTATATTCCTTTGGGTATATACCCAGTAATGGGATGGCTGGGTCAAATGGTATTTCTAGCCCAAATGTCCAACAATGATAGACTGGATTATGAAAATGTGGCACACATGCACCATGGAATACTATGCAGCCATAAAAATGATGAGTTCATGTCCTTTGTAGGGACATGGATAAAGCTGGAAACCATCATTCTCAGCAAACTACCGCAAGGACAAAAAACCAAACACTGCATGTTCTCACTCATATGTGGTAATTGAACAATGAGAACACTTGGACACAGGAAGGGGAACATCACACACTGGGGCCTGTCGTGGGGTGGGGGACTGGCGGAGGGATAGCATTAGGAGATATACCTAATGTAAATGACGAGTTAATGGGTGCAGCACACCAACATGGCACATGTATACATATGTAACAAACCTGCATGTTGTGCACATGTACCCTAGAACTTAAAGTATAATAAATATATATATATATATATATATAAATACTTTCCTCCCTCGTTTCATCTGGCTGAGGGAAGAGCACATATCTGATGTCAGGAAGAATGAAGTGTTTGGCAGCTCAGGACCATTTTTCATGATCAGAACATTAAGGTGCCTTTGGGGACAGGGAGAAATGAACCCTCCCTGCCTCTGGTCACTCCTGTCCATTCAGCCAGAGTCCTGCCCTGACACCTGGCTCACTGCCCACCTTATCTCCCCTTTTAAATCTTACAGAGTCTCTGTTCCCAGCTCCTCCACCATGGGACCCTCATGGAAGTCCCCTATCCAGAGGTAATTTCTCTGCCTTCTCTGAATTCTAAGCACTTTATACTCCTGTAATTAATGTATAAATCATACATTAATTCATTGGTTTACTTCTTTGACAAATATCTGTAGGGTGCCTTCTCTGGGTCAGTCCCTGTTCAAGGCACCAGGAACACAGGTGAAGGAGGTAGAGTGGGTGTGAGACTCAATTTCCAGCTTCAGTCTAAGCTCCTGCAATTCAGGGATGAGATTTCATATATACATTTTTCAATCCTTATATAATGCCTTCCATATAATTGGTGGCTTATAAAGGATGATGGCTTATGGTCTTTATTAATTACATGTCTCATCATTCCTGTACAACTGTAGCAAATATAAACATCAAAATGCCTCTAGATCTTCTTTTCCTCATAAAACATGCTTTCTCCTTTCTGTCATTTTGAAAGTGTTGCAGATTGATGCCCCTGGTCCTTTAGGAATGCCCATTTCTCTTTGTTCTAGTGCTGTTGTGTGGGTGAAGGTTGACCTAGTTTCAGAGAAGGGGTGAGGAAAGGCAGGGGCAAAAAGAATAAAGGAAAGAGTTTCTTTTGAGTACAAATAAAAACTACCAGGGAAATCTGATTTACCAAAATGTTCTAGGGATTAGATTTGCAACTATTAAATATGATTTAACTGAAGGACCCCTCCGGCCTTTTTTATTCCCTTCTTTTTTACTAAAACTCTTTATCGAATTGCAGAATCCTTTTTCATTTGTCTCAGTAAGTAAACTTCAGTAAATTATAGGTAAAATTTAGAAAACTGAAAATTCTGTTAGAGATTAGAATGCATTAATATTTCTTGCCTTAGGCTGGGTGCAGTGGCTCACACCTGTAACCCCAGCACTTTGGGAGGCTGAGGCGGGCACATCACCTGAGGTCAGGAGTTCAAGACTAGCCTGGCCAACATGGTGAAACCCCGTCTCTACTAAAAATACAAAAATTAGCCAGGCATGATGGCAGGCCCAGCTACTTGGTAGGCTGAGGCAGGAGAATCGCTTGAACCAGGGAGGTGGAGGTTGCGGTGAGCCGAGATCGCGCCACAGCCGAGATCTGTGAGCCTGGGCCACAGAGCGAGACTCCATCTCAAAAAACAAAAAAACAAACAAACAAAAAGACCATAGAAGCATATGAATAATATGAATAGGGTTTTGGAGATTTCACAGGACATGCAGTAAATGCAAGGCATCGTAGAAAAATAGTGTCCAGGGTAAGTCCCCCAAATCAGCTTGCTTCCTTGGAGATGTGCCACTCTTTCCTGAAAGTTTACAACAGAGGAAATGTTAGTTATCTGAGGTTTTGGCGGGGCTCGGGTGGAATGTTGTGATGAATTATTCCTTAAATGCCCTGAGACTGAGCATGGGTTCCAATCTGGATGTTTCCAGCTCAGCTGCAGGAGGAGGGAGAATTTAGACAGAGACGTTGTCCGCCAAAGCTAAATACCTTCCGCCTTTGCCTACTTTTCATTTCCAAACACCAGTATTGATTCCTTCCACGACGAATCGATCCTGTGGCTTGAAAGAAGCCTCTACCTGGAAGCTGTGGGGGAGGGATGAAGTGCAAGAGAAAACATCTGTTAATCTGGACAGAGGCAGCGTGGCCTGAAATGAAGACATACCAAGCCCATCCTGGGAAGAAGTGTTTCTCCAGGTGGCAGCCTGCAGGAAGCAGAGCTCCTTCTGAACAGGCTTCCCACTGGCTCCTTTCTTTTTGATATTTTTTTCCAGCTTTGTTAAGGTATGACAAATAAAAATTGTGTATATTTAGGGTGCGCGATATGGTGTTTTGATAAACACATTGTGAAATGATCACCACGATCAAGCTAAGGGACATACCCATCCTAACCTTGTTGCCACGGTGTGTGCCTGAGTGTGTGTGCCTGAGTGTGTGTGCTGAATGTGCGTGCCTGAGTGTGCGTGTGTGCGTGCCTGTGTGTGCGCACGTGTGTACCTGTGTGTGCCCGTGTGTCTGCGCACATGTGTGTGCACGTGTGTGTGCGCACGTGTGTGCCTTGTGCGTCTGTGTGCACGTGTGTGTGTGGGCATGCCTGTGTGTGTGCCTGTGTGTGCCTGTGTGTGCATGTGTGTGCCTGTGTGTGTGCGTGTGTGTGTGTATGTGTGATGAGAACATTTAAGATCTGCTCTCAGCAAATTCCAAGTACACAATACAGTGTTATATACATTAGATCTGCAGAGCTTATTCAGCTTCTATCTGCAAGGTTGTACCCTTTGACCAAGATCACCCGTCCTCAACTGATGTTCTACTCTATTTCTATAAGTCCACCTTTTTAGATTTCACAAGTAAGATCATGCAGTGTTTATCATTCTGTGCCTGGGTTATTTCACTTGGTATAATATTCATATTCTTGTAAATAGCAGGATTTCATTCTTTTTTTAAAGCTGAATAACATTTCATTTGATAGTTACTACAATTTCTTCATCTATCAATGGATTCTTAAGTTGCATCTGTATCTTGATTATTGTGAATAATAGTGCAGTGAGCATGGGAGTGCAGTTATGTCTTTGAGATAATGATTTCATTTTATTTTTTAACGTACACCCAGAAGTGGAATTGCTAGATCATATGGCAGTTCTATTTTGATTTTTATTTTTTTGTGGAACCTCCATACTACTTTCCATAATGACTATAACAATTTGCCGTCCCACCAACAGCATGCAGTTTTTCCCTTTTCTTCACGTCCTCACCAACACTCATTATATTTAGATCTTTTAATAATAAACATCCTAACGGGTGAAGTGATGTCACATTGCGGTTTTGATTTGCGTTTCCCTGATGATTAGTGGTGCTGAGCACCTTAATATACACCTGTTGCATCTCCGTATGTCTTCTTTGGAAGAAATGTCTATTCAGGCCCTTTGCCTATTGTTTTACTTGGGTTATTTGATTCTTTACTATTGAGTTGTAGGAGTTCCTTCTTCTCTGGATATTAATTCTCTGCTTTCTAGTGCCTTAAAGTTTCTGTGTCCCCACCCCTACCACGTGTTAGCCTTTGCTCAGTTCTACATCATGTCTGCTCATCCCTATGACCCAGCGCTGTGCCTAGCATGGACAGATGCTCAAAGCGGGATTGATGACTGAATGGATAGACAAATGTGGCTTGATGTTTTCCCTCAAGCAGTTCATAGTCTTGTGAATGCTCAGTGGTAACACTTCCGTAATTCCTCCCCATTCTACTCTTCGTCTATGCTTCCTACCTAGAATGTTTGAGTTGGAGGAACTTGCAGCCCTTTCCTTGGTGCAGTGTTGGTGGAACTCAGGAAATTGTAGTTCCTAAAGATAATGTGATCACCTAAATATAATGACTTGCTGGTAGAGAGCATGGAGCAGCACCAGAAAGCCTGTGTTCTAACCTTGGATCTGTTTCCTGCTGAGGGTATGTATGAGCTCCACGAAGTTGCCCAACATCTCTGAGCCTCACTTTCTCACATCTCCCAGTTGGGTGATTATTCCTCTGCACTCTCTTCTCAGGGTTGTTACAAGGGACATGAGTTAATTGATGTGAGAACTTTCAAATAAAGTGTAGAAATTATTCATGTGTTAGGGATCATTATTTTTCAGCCTATTCTCTCCCAAGGAGTATCTTTGTATCTTAGCAGAAGTCTCCAGTGCTTTAAAGAAGCTACCATTAGAAGGAATCCAGGCAGAGTCCTGAAGAACATGTTTTGGATCCTGATGAGTCTTCAGGTCACTGTTTTGACAACATCATGCTGCAGTTTTAGGCAAAGTTCACCGACTTGATGCCATAAAAGCAAGTTTGCATGACATAAGCTGGACAAGTACCATGCTTCTCATCTCACAGCTGTGAAGCCTTGTCCACGTGTTTTTTGTATTTCAGAGAACAACTGAAATATCACCATCATTTCACAGCAGCTCATTTCTGGTGTTGACACATGACTCATAGGGTTTTAGAGTTGGAAAAGAACTGATAGGTGGTAAGACTTACGATGTATGATTAACCAACCCCTCAGTGAACCATGAAGTTTTTAATAAATCATATAAAATACTAGACAGGAATAAACCTTCATCCTTTACAGTATTACTGATACACAGTGAGAAAACTCAAATACCTGGAGCGAAAGGAATGGGATGACATTGGTGTAAGAGGCACTGGGAGGAAATAGTCAAATATGTATGTTACTACATTAAATAGGAATTAGAGGAGGGAAGAGTCATTTGCCTAACTAGTGTTTATTCCAGAATCAATGGAAATTTAAATTGAATGATCTTTTTCTCAGTTTTTCTTTTCTTCTACTTGTTTTCTCTCCAAAATAATCCAAATCGCTCTCTCTCCTCTCCCTCTCCTCTCTTTCTCCTCTCTCTCTCTCTCCTCTCTCTCTCTCTCTCAATAAGCACCAGGATACCTATTCTATGGCACATGCTCGATAGTTCTTGCTAAGATACTCAAGTCTTAAGTCCTAATCAACTTTCATTTTTATTTCATCAAGAGTTTAAACATTAATTTAGTGATAATGATAGAATGGTAGGAAATTGGTCCCATAGCCTCAGAACAAATCACACCATACAAATGTGTCTATCATATTCAAGATTACTTTCTTTTGATGAGCTGTTCTATTAGTGCATAGTTTAAACACATGGCCAGCCTATGCTTTAACCAGTACTGGAATTTAACACACAGCGGCAAACAGGAATCTTGCTTAACTTGACCTGGACTGTTGCTCAGCGCCTGCTGCTGACCCTCTGGTGAGAATGCAATAACCCAGAATGACGGATGAGTCAGGGAGGCTGGACAGCAGATTGTCCAGAACAGTATGTAATTCTCATGACAGGGAAGGCTGTGGAGACCAGCTCACCCACCTCACTGACTCCCTGCAAGGCCCGAGTTAAAGGATGCTCCACAATTCCCTCTCCATTCCAGAATGACATTTCATTCTGATCAATGTCCTCTTACTAGGTCAACTTTTACTCTCTCAAATGCGCTGTTTAAAATACAAGTTGCTCTGGAATATGGCCCATTAAATGAATTACTGGGGCAGAGCATTTTTCCCTGCATTAGAGAACCAAGGCAGCCCAATGAGAATTGGTGCCTAGGAGGATGCAGAGTGAGGAGGAATGAGCAGAGAGGGGAGGGCAGGACACATCAACATCCAAAATTTGAGTCGTCCACTTCATGATCTCCTTTTTGAGGTTTGCTTGTCACTTCTTCAGGGACCCTCTGCCAGTCGAAGGCATTGTGTCCACCCTCTCTGGAAGGCTGCCTGTGAGGAATGACAGGAGATGAGACCACAGAGGCACAGGACACTAGAAGTCAGAGAAACTTTTGAGACCATGAGTCTCAATTCCTCATTTTACAGACCCAGATATTACAGCTCTGCTCTTAAGGTCACAAAACTTATGTAAACGTTGTGTGTTTTGCTGAGCTAGATGAAGACCATTTTGAGGCCTTATGTGCCTGCTGTGTTTTTGGTGGGACTCTCTCCTGTCCCCAGGCTAAGATTCTTTACATGAATTCTCAAATTCCACAGATGATGAGATTTTATAGCATCTTCCAGTGTTGGGTTTGGTTTTTGTTATTTTGAATGAGCGTGCTGACTGTAGGAAATGATGAACTCAAGTGGCAGTTGAGATCAGAGGGACTGAAAACAAAGTCAAGTGTAACAGGATGCTGCTTCGGTGGTGTTTTTACCGCCCAAATGCACAGCCCGGATCCACACACCTTGACTTCATCTCTGTTCCCCATTTATTTTCCACCGGATCTCCGTGGGCACTTTTTTCTCCTCTTTCATCTTTTCCTCTACTCAGAAAAGTGCTCATAAAAGAGCAACTGTGATATTGCTTCTATTTGTCTTCTTGAAGGAAACTGGTTTACCCTGACCCTCTCTCATGCATTTCCAGCCAGGTCGATTCTTCTTAGGCCTGTGTTTGTCTACGCTCACCTTTTAACATTTGGGCCAGGGGAGGGACAGGATCCTTAAAACATGATACCTATTTCCACATCTGAGGAAATGTAAATAGGTTGTTGTAGATTTTGTTAATATCATTTTTGTACCAATTCCTCACCCAGGCAATTCACTACAACCTTGAAACTCAGCATGTTTCTGGGTATTGTGTCTGGTATCTGAAGACTCTCCGAACCCAGTTCTGCATGTGGCTAAATTACAAACTCAGAGGAGCAGCTTCCAAATACGAGAATTTTCTGGGTGGTGATTTAGTCAACATGTAAATGCTAAGCTCTGATTGGAATAGGAAAAGCCCCCTCAAAAATTTATTTTTCAGAATGAATGAGTCAAAGCTCTATGACTTCCTGTCTGCTGGACACAAAACCAAAAAGCCTGATTCAACAGAGAAAGTGGCTGAGGTCAAGGCTGCAAGGACTAATTTAGGATTGGGATTCTTGCTCTTGACTCAGGCATTGAAGTAGCCTCACAGAGAAATAATACGTTCCAGAAATGCCTTGGTTTCTGTGATCTCCATCTAGACCAACAAATCGCCCTATGTAATCAGCCTACAGTGCATCTCAAGAAAGTACAATATAAATGGAAATATACAACCTACTGAGACCAAAACAAAGATTTATTTAAAAAAAAGAGACGTCTTTACATGCATCACTAAATTTTAATGGTAATGAAGATGGGTCATTGAGGGTATAAAACGCTGGAATCCTGCATCAGAGTGCCTGGTGAGGAAATTTTTTTTATTATTATTATACTTTAAGTTTTAGGGTACATGTGCACAATGTGCAGGTTAGTTACATATGTATACATGTGCCATGCTGGTGTGCTGCACCCATTAACTCGTCATTTAGCATTAGGTATATGTCCTAAAGCTATCCCTCCCCCCTCCCCCCACCCCACAACAGTCCCCAGAGTGTGATGTTCCCCTTCCTGTGTCCATGCGTTCTCATTGTTCAATTCCCACCTATAAGTGAGAATATGCAGTGTTTGGTTTTCTGTTCTTGTGATAGTTTACTGAGAATGATGATTTCCAATTTCATCCATGTCCCTACAAAGGACATGAACTCATCATTTTTTATGGCTGCATAGTATTCCATGGTGTATATGTGCCACATTTTCTTAATCCAGTCTATCATTGTTGGACATTTGGGTTGGTTCCAAGTCTTTGCTATTGTGAATAGTGCCACAATAAACATACGTGTGCATGTGTCTTTATAGCAGCATGATTTATAGTCCTTTGGGTATATACCCAGTAATGGGATGGCTGGGTCAAATGGTATTTCTAGTTCTAGATCCCTGAGGAATCGCCACACTGACTTCCACAATGGTTGAACTAGTTTACAGTCCCACCAACAGTGTAAAAGTGTTCCTATTTCTCCACATCCTCTCCAGCACCTGTTGTTTCCTGACTTTTTAATGATTGCCATTCTAACTGGTGTGAGATGGTATCTCATTGCGGTTTTGATTTGCATTTCTCTGATGGCCAGTGATGGTGAGCATTTTTTCATGTGTTTTTTGGCTGCATAAATGTCTTCTTTTGAGAAGTGTCTTTTCCTGTCCTTCGCCCACTTTTTGATGGGGTTGTTTGTTTTTTTCTTGTAAATGTGTTTGAGTTCATTGTAGATTCTGGATATTAGCCCTTTGTCAGATGAGTAGGTTGCGAAAATTTTCTCCCATTCTGTAGGTTGCCTGTTCACTCTGATGGTAGTTTCTTTTGCTGTGCAGAAGCTGTTTAGTTTCATTAGATCCCATTTGTCAGTTTTGGCTTTTGTTGCCATTGCTTTTGGTGTTTTACACATGAAGTCCTCGCCCATGCCTATGTCCTGAATGGTAATGCCTAGGTTTTCTTCTAGGGTTTTTATGGTTTTAGGTCTAATGTTTAAGTCTTTAATCCAAGGACCAACAAAATTGATAGACCGCTAGTAAGACTAATAAAGAAGAAAAGAGAGAAGAATCAAATAGATGCAATAAAAAATGATAAAGGGGATATCACCACTGACCCCACAGAAATACAAACTACCATCAGAGAATACTACAAACACCTCTACGCAAATAAACTAGAAATCTAGAAGAAATGGATAAATTCCTCGACACATACACCCTCCCAAGACTAAACCAGGAAGAAGTTGACTCTCTGAATAGACCAATAACAGGCTCTGAAATTGTGGCAATAATCAATAGCTTACCAACCAAAAAGAGTCCAGGACCAGATGGATTCACAGCTGAATTCTACCAGAGGTACAAGGAGGAACTGGTACCATTCCTTCTGAAACAATTCCAATCAACAGAAAAAGAGGGAATCCTCCCTAACTCGTCTTATGAGGCCAGCATCATCCTGATACCAAAGCCGGGCAGAGACACAACCAAAAAGGAGAATTTTAGACCAATATCCTTGATGAACATTGATGCAAAATCCTCAATAAAATACTGGCAAACCAAATCCAGCAGCACATCAAAAAGCTTATCCACCATGATCAAGTGGGCTTCATCCCTGGGATGCAAGGCTGGTTCAATATATGCAAATCAATGAATGTAATCCAGGATATAAACAGAACCAAAGACAAAAACCACATGATTATCTCAATAGATGCAGAAAAGGCCTTTGACAAAATTCAACAACGCTTCATGCTAAAAACTCTCAATAAATTAGGTATTGATGGGACGTATCTCAAAATAATAAGAGCTATCTATGACAAACCCACAGCCAATATCATACTGAATGGGCAAAAACTGGAAGCATTCCCTTTGAAAACTGGCACAAGACAGGGATGGCCTTCTTCACCACTCCTATTCAACATAGCGTTGGAAGTTCTGGCCAGGGCAGTTAGGCAGGAGAAGGAAATAAAGGGTATTCAATTAGGAAAAGAGGAAGTCAAATTGTCCCTGTTTGCAAATGACATGATTGTATATCTAGAAAACCCCATTGTCGCAGCCCAAAATCTCCTTAAGCTGATAAGCAACTTCAGCAAAGTCTCAGGATACAAAATCAATGTACAAAAATCACAAGCATTCTTATACACCAATAACAGACAAACATATAAACGCTGGAATCCTGCATCAGAGTGCCTGGTGAGGAAATTTTTTTTATTATTATTATACTTTAAGTTTTAGGGTACATGTGCACAATGTGCAGGTTAGGTACATATGTATACATGTGCCATGTTGGTGTGCTGCACCCAATAACTCGTCATTTAGCATTAGGTATATCTCCTAAAGCTATCCCTCCCCCCACCCCACAACAGTCCCCAGAGTGTGGCGTTCCCCTTCCTGTGTCCATGTGTTCTCATTGTTAGCCTCTCTGACATGAAAATCCTGAAGCATCCCAGTGGTACTTCAACAGAAGAGGTGACACAAACTCCCAAGAAGTTAGTCCTTTGTCAGAAAAAGATAACCTGGTACAGCTTCCCTAAAACAAATTCAGACAGAGATCTGGTCATCAACACTCCTGTTTAAACTTGCAAAGCCATCATCTCTGTATTGTGAGTTATCTGTGTTTCATTATAACCGAAGTTCATCTGCACAAATTGGCATTCTAAATTGTTACTTGTTATTCTGCACATTTTATGATGAGATAGTTATAGAAATAAATTAATATAAATTAAGAGAATACCACAAATTAGTAGAATAAGGAATGGCCAATATTTTTCAAGAAGCTAGCTAAGGTTTCCAATGTCATTTATTATATAAATTAATATTCTCACCACATATCATACCCCAATCTCAGATGTATTTAAGTAGCTAAACAGAAAAATAGAAAAAAGAAAATATTGTGTGTTATAGAAACTAAGAAAAATAGAAAAAAGATAATACTGTATAATAGAAGCTAAGAAAATGGAGATAAATAATTATTATCTCAACAAAAATATCATCATTAGAATAAAAGCAATAAAAGCCAAAAAATAATTAGAAGGAAAATATAGTTTTACTGTATAATAAACATACACTTAAATATAAAGCAGAAATAAAAGGAAAACAAAATCTGGTAAAATATTTGCAACAAATTTCCTATGTTAATATATTTAGTATGTTAGGAGATCAAACAAATTACAAAAATCAGGCAAAATACATAGTGAAGATGTCCTAAAAACCAAAAGCAAGTTTGAAATCAGTATTAATTGTTGCTCTCCTATTTGTAACAGTGAAAAATTGGAAGTAACTGTTTCCCTTATGATTAAATATTGACAACAGCATGCAAATTGATAATTTACATAATATTTAAGAGGAAGAACAAAGCAGATATAATTAAATCCCCTTTCTTCCTTTAAAATGATTGAAATAAGAGTAAAGAAACCCAAAAGGAACTATGTTTATACGACACCGAAAAGCAAAGGAGGAAGCCACAGACCAAGATTTTGACAAATTTCTGCAAGACAGAAGGAAGACAGGATCACATTAACAAACATATCCCAGTAGAGGAATCCATGGCTCAGAGCACAGGTGAGACCCATTTACTAGGAATGCACTCACTCCCCTAACACCCCTCTGCATGGAGCAGCTACACAGAGAAATGAGATTTGACACTAAGAGGGTGATTTGTGGAACGGATGCAAGGCAACTCTTACCAAGCCTCTCTCCCTGTCTCCCATCTGTAGAGCTGAGAACATAGCCTCAATCTCAGAAGGTGGCATCAAGACCAGCGGGAGAGAAAGACCTAGTCAACAAGCGATGCTAAATAATTCAGGATGCATGGCTTACCCATATGGGGAAATATAAAATTCTTGCCAAATTCCAGGGGTTCAGTCTAGCTTCCACTGCTCACCAGGGCATGGAAAATCAATCCCTGAGATGAGTATTGCCAGGGAGGAAGGTTTCATTTGGATGACGCCAGCCAGAGAGATTGGAGCAAAACCTCAAATCTGTTTCTTCTTCCTGCCTCCAACTAAATTTAGGGGTGTATATAGCAGGGAAGGAAAATGGGGCTGGGAGGGCAAGAAAGAAGAGTTGGTCACCAGGCAGCAGGTGCATTTCATTGTACAAATCATAAGTTTATCAAGCTTCAGTTCTGTGGGCATGTGGCTTGTTAGAAAATCGGGCTACTTTCAAAAGTAGTCATTTTTCTCAGTGTGCACATATAAAATCCACATGAATTAAAGATGTAAATGTAGAAAACAAACCTAAAGCTTTTTGCAAATATATAAACAAATACCTTTATAACCTCATTGGGAAGGGAAGGATTTCACACACATGACACAAACATCACAAACTGCACACAGAAAAGATAAAAGTCACTGTATTGCATTTAAAAACACTAGTTCATCCACATATGCCATGGAATACTATGCAGCCATCAAAAAGGATGAGTTCATTTCCTTTGTAGGAACATGGATGAAGCTGGAAACCATTATTCTGAGCAAAATATCACAAGGACAAAACCAAACACCACATGTTCTCACTCATAGGTGGGAATTGAACAATGAGAACACTTGGACACAGGGTGGGGAACATCACACACCAGGGCCTGTTGTGGGGTGGGGGGAGGGGGGAGGGATAGCATTAGGAGATATACCTAATGTAAACGACGAGTTAATGAGTGCAGTACACCAACATGGCACACGTATACCTATGTAATAAACCTGCACGTTGTGCACACGAACCCTAGAACTTAAAGTATAATAATAATAAAAAAAACACTAGTGCATCAAAAGAAATCTTTTCAAGTGGAGGTGGGAGAAGGTGAGTCACATATGGGGAGAAGATATTCTCAGCCCATAGAACAAAAGTTTGTCCATCCAGAATACCTAAAATATACTACAAATCAGTGAGGAAAAGATGAACAAACAAGTAGAAAAATAGACAAATGATGTAATCCAGCAATTCAAAGAGAGAAAATCCAAATGGCCAATGCATATATATATATATATATATATATATATATATATATATATATATATACTCAAACTTTATTCGTAACCAAGAGAGTGCATATTAAAACTGAAGAGAGACATCGTTTTATGCCCATCACGGTGGCAAAAGTGGCAGCATGTGACACTGATGGGCTGGAGACAGCGGCAGTGGCTGCTGTCACACATAGCTGGATTAACCCCTGGAAATTTGATGAGGGGGCAACGCCAGCACTAGATATAGAATTCATTTACATATTAAAACATATATAAAAGAATGTTTGCTGCAGCATTGTTTGTAAAAGTAAACATTTAGGTACCATTTATAAATGCATTAGTGGAAGGATGGATAATAAATTGTAGGATGATATTATAGACTACTACCCAGTGGCAGGGAAAAGCTACAGCTATCAGTGAATTAACAACACAAAATTAGTTTGCAAGATATATCGTATGGTGCCATTTATGAATTGTAAAAATGTAAAACAATGACACATTTATCTAGCCAGATGTAGGTTAAGATAGCCAAAGCCATTTTTTAAATAAGTGGGCATAATAAACACTGAGTTTAGGCTGGTGGTGAGCTCTGGGCAGGGAGGGAAGAAAAAGCAAGTAGATTGAAGTGGGCAAGATTTGTGACTTTTTTTTTCCGCCCGAGACAGTGTCTTGCTCTGTCGCCCAGGCTGGAGTCCAGTGGTGTGATCCCAGCTCACTGCAACCTCTGCCTCCCGGGTGCAAGCGATTCTCCTGCCTCAGCCTCCCAAGTAGCTGGGATTACAGGTGCATGCCACCACGCCTGGCTAATTTTTGTATTTTTAGTAGAGACAGGGTTTCACCACGTTGGCAAGGCTGGTCTCGAACTCCTGACCTCGTGATCCGCCCTCATCAGCCTCCCAAATTGCTGGGATTACAGGCATGAGCCACCGCGCCTGGCCTTTTTTTTTTTTTCCCCTTTTCTTTTCTTTTCTTTTTTTTTTTAACTTTTAAGCTCAGAGGTGCATGTGCAGGTTTGTTATATAGGTAAAGGGTAAACTCATGTCATGAGGGTTTGTTGTACAGATTATTTTATTACCCAGGTATGAAGCCTAGTACCCATTAGCTGTTTTCCCCATTGTCTCCTTCCCATTCTCCGCCCTCTGGCAGGCTTCAGTGTGTGTTGTTCCCCTCTATGTGTCCTGTGTTCTCATCCTTTAGCTCCCACTTATAAGTGAGGATATGCATTTCTTAAAAGAATGTTACACTACTGTTGGGATATTTTTCTAAGTCTGCTTTTTTTTAATCATCCAGAAGGTGTCAACCAAAAACTTCCTGGTAATAACCAGTACTCCTATTCCTGCCTGAGTGGCTTTCCTGTGACTGGACTGAAACGTCCTGCAGCTGTGGTTGAACGAGGGTGACAGCCAAGTTTGCCTGGCACACACATCATGACTGCTGCCTGACCCACAGACACCACACAGTACAGGCTTGTTTCAGAGATGCCAAATGTGGGGAAAATGCATCTTAAAAGTCACAGAAATAAATGTCGTTTATTAATAAATGTAATAATTAATGAATGATTAATTATTTCATTTATAAGGAGGATGGATGAAAGAGAGAGAATATAAATGCATTTATTACCGCTGAACTGTACATGTAAAAATGGTAAATATGGTAAATTATATATGCATATTTTATCTCTATTTAAAAAATCACTGAAATAAATGTAGTTTGATCAGTATTTCTTTCAGGAATATTTCTGCAGCTTTTTAGTTTGTTTTTGCTTATAATTTTTGGCCTCTTTTTTTCTTCATATTTTGCTTTTATTCCCCTGTTGTTGGTATAAAAAGATAATTCATCCAATCTTAAAGCTAGGAACATTTTTCTTCAAATGGCAAAAGTTTAGTAATATAAAATTACATCTTCTTTGTGGCTATAATCACGTTACTTAGTTCTTCAGGGAATGATATTTTCATATGCCTAATATTTTAAATGTTTTTAATTGATTTTCAGTTTCCCAAGGAAGGAGAACCTCCTTTCCAAAGAGGTTCCTTTGTGATTTTGGAACAGAAAGTCAATAGTACAAGCCTCAACATTACAAGAGGCATGGTAGGTTTTCTGTTGGAAGGTACTGGAGACAGATGCAGGATACACCGCATTTTTCATTTTACAAATGGGTAGCAAGAGATGCTGTGTAAAATTGATGGGTACATGACTTAAGGTTCTTCCAGCTGCTATAGCAAATAAACCCTGCAATCTCAATCTTTTAAGAAAATAGTAGTTTCTTTCTCAATTGCTCAAAATAAAATTTATTTTATTACAATAAAATACATCAGTTATTTAGCAGATGGCCTTCAGAATGCTGAATCAAGAACCCAGGTCCCTCCACCTTGAACATCCATCACCTCTGAAGATTCAAGAATAGTTTAATTCCAACTTTAGAATGGGAGAGAACCAGAGAGTTCTCAGAAGGCATCCCCGGATGTTTTGAAGGCCAGGCCTGAACCTGGCACATACTTCTGCCATATTCCAGTAGCTAGAACGTAGTCACATAGCAAAGGAGGCCAAGAAATGTGGAATAGCTGAAGAGCAGCCGAAAAAAGAAAATCAGTTTGGTGAATAATGAGCAAGTTTCTTCCAAAATGGATTAAAAAACAGTGTTTTAAATTCATTAGTAAAGTGATAATGTCAATTTGAAAAGATGATACAGGAAAAATTGGTAAGAAAAGGAGAAAAGAACAATTGATTGTGGAAGTTAGTGGAACTCTTTGTCTTACAGCTGAGAGGTGATGGATTGTGTTTGAACTGGGGAAATAAGGAAGTGGATCTGTGTTCCTGCTTCCTGGGCGTACAGAGCTGTCCACCACAGAACTAGCATTGACACCGGCAAAATTGCTTTTCTCTGAGAACTTGGAGAGAGAATAGGGGTCATGTTGGATTTGGTGATGATAGTGACGGTGGTGATGAGGAATAATTTATATTTTTATTGTAAATTTTCAGTAATATTTTGAATTTTTATTTTAATATACATGGATAACTAATAATTACAGAATTAATCACAGTAAAAGTGGTAAAATACAAGCTGAAAATTAAATCCAAGGACAGAGATCCACTTAATAAGCAACTATAGACGTGGAATAAGAATATTTTTTCATAACTTTTATTATTACATTAGCAAATATTCATATTTTTAAGAGGAAGTGCAGAGTAGAAAACTACAAGTATAATCTCTTTTACATAAATACTATGCATAGAAAAGACTAGAAGGGAACCACAGGTGTTGTTTTAGTATATTTATTTATGATGAATTATAGTCTTTATTTTTGCTTATATTTTATCTTTGTTGTCAGCTATATAATGAGTTGTATTAATGTCTATACTTTTGTGTCTAAAAAATTGAAATTGAATATTTCATTGTCAAAAACTAAGCCATGACAGAAAGCACAATAACTTAATAGTGAAGTAGAGTTCAGGGTGCTTGGAACCGTAGCTGGCTTTGTCTAATGGTGAGATAATCATTAGGATTAGAACTCAAGAGCCCTAGGTTTCCATCCCAGATATGTTGCTAACTAAATGTGTGACCCTATGTAGGTCACTTTATCAGCACCTCGGTTTTTCACTTGCCGAGTGATGTTCGCATTTTCATTTCCTACAACCTGAGTATTTTAATGCAGCCACGACCCTGGTGCTGCCTGTTGAAATGAGGCAGATTAAAGACCACAAGGCCTATGGCAGGAAAGATGCTTCTTTTTCCACCTCCAGTGACAAGCTCTGTGAGATGAAGTAAGTCTTCTAATTCAGTCAAATTCTGCTGCTGGTGGCTTTTCTCCATTGGTCATATTTATACAGCTGGGGACCTACAGCGCAAGCCTCTCCAGGGGAGCCCTTCAGGTCTTCACTAGCTAAATATTCCCAACTCTCCCTCTCCATGTGTCTCACAGGTTTGCCATTTCCTCATCAGGTTGGCTTATGCCCAAGTTAGCACCCTTATATATTCTATATCATTTGATCCCCAAACTCCATTTTTTTCCACTCAGTTATTTCTCTAGGTGAGCTGCTTGCAGTGAAAAATAGGAAAGGGGGGGAATCTTTTTTTTTTTTTTTTTGAGATGGAGTCTCGCACTGTCCACCAGGCTGGAGTGCAATGGTGCCATCTCAGCTCACTGCAAGCTCCACCTCCCAACTTCACGCAATTCTCCTGCTTCAGCCGTCCTAGTAGCTGGGACTACAGGAGCACGCCACCACGCCCAGCTAATTTTTTTGTATTTTTAGTAGAGACGGGGTTTCACTATGTTAACCAGACTAGTCTCGAACTCCTGACCTCAAGTGATCTGCCCACCTCGGCCTCCCACAGTGCTGGGATTACAGGCATGAGCCACCGTGCCCGGTTAATCATTTTGTTTTAAATAAGTTTCAGTTAGAATATAGAGCTTCTTCCCCAAACAGAGTAAACTTCGATTCTCCATTTTCATGTAAAAGCAGGTGGCATTTCTTGTACACTGTAGAGATGGTATGATTATTAAACAGCTAATAATTAGAAAGCATTCCAGAAATAAAATCAGCATATAAATACCCAGTATGATGGGGATGATTAAACTACCGGCTGTGGTGGACAAAAAATAATATTGGACAAAAAATAATATTATTCAATTGTTTACATGCATTTAGCTGATCTAACAAAACATACATTTGTAAGATCCCAGCCAGAAATATTTCCAGGTAATAAAATATAAATTATAGTGTTCCTTTATGGATTGCATACTTTCTTCCCTCTTTACGTTTCAAATAAATTACCTTCTATGTATCACTTAAATAACATCAGGCTTTCTGAGGTGCTTAAGACAATCTTAACAGTACTGAGTTAAAATATATCTTTAACATGGTATTTTTTCTAGTCTTTAGGAAAGCTTCACTCAAGTGCATTTTCAAAGGTCTTTGAAGATGAAATATTCTGAGGGCCTCGTGCATTGCTGCTGAATTTAATAGTCCTTAGCAATCACACTGAAATCCATTCCCTTTGCCCTCAGCTTCCCTTCCTAATTCTATCACGTAACTACCTTCTTCCTCAAAAGCCTTCTTACCACCTTAGCAAAAAATGACAACTTGGATTTCAGTGAAAATGTATGGATTTAATTTGCAAGCTCTCCAGTCTTGGCTTTGCTCTCTGTGAGTCTTGACGGAGGGGAGAAGCTACACCGGAGGCCCTAAGAAGCCTGGCCCAGGCTCACCTGATCTCCTTCTCTTCCAGAAGCCTCCCAGGTTCCAGCCCACTCTCACCTTCCACAGGGGGCCTCTTGCCTCCCGGCTTCTGCCCAGTTCAGCCAATGGGAGTCAGGGGTGCAAGCTCTAAGCGGGGGGATGAAGAGTCGGGGTTGCAGGTGGGTCTGGCCGCTGCCCTCTGCCTCAGGTTCCCACAGACAGCCCTGTCCTGAAGCTACGAGATGGCTGAAAGACAACACAATTCCCCAGTCCCCGGCAGCCTCGCGTTTAATTTCCACTCACGGTTTTGCCTTTTCCAGAATATCAGGAAAGTGGAATCATGACGGATATACTCACCGGGGATCAGGGAAGAGGACTCAGGGTGTGAGGGGTTGTCTGGGAGAGCTGGGAAGGTTCCATGTCTTGATTGTCGTAGCTGTTACATGACTATTTACAGTCGTTGAATCTGCAAGCTGAAAAGGGTGAATTTTATTGCATGTAAATTATGTTTGCAAAAAGCCAACTAAAGAGTGAGAAATAATTATGTCTGTTTTCACTGCAGTCAATTCCCCCACGACAATAGGGGGATTTTCGGAAGATGCTTTGATATCATAACTCTGTTGTGCATTGTGCATTTTCATAAGTCATTAATATTTATAGGCCAGCTAACTTCATCCCTCTTGATTTTGATTATGCAAGGAGATGCTAAACAAAATGCGTTTCAGGAGAAACTCACGTGTCCACAGCTTTCCGTACCATTGGCCAATCTCTGGGTGGTCCTCCCTTTTCAATTTTCTACCCTATCACATCAGAAATAGGTATTGGGGTTGGGCGCGGTGGCTCATGCCCATAATCCCAGCACTTTGGGAGGCCTAGGCGGGTGGATCACTTGAGGACAGGAGTTCGAGACCAGCCTGGCCAACATGGTGAAACCTGTCTCTACTAAATATACAAAAATTAGCCGGTGAGGTGATGTGAGCTGTAATCCTAGCTACTGGGGAGGCTGAGGCAAAAGAATCACTTGAACCCGGGAGGTGGAGGTTGCTGTGAGCCAAGATCACACCACTGCACTCCAGCCTGGGCAACAGAGGGAGAGTCCGTCTCAAAACAAAAACAAAAACAAAAAAAAGCCAGGCGTAGTGGCTCACACCTGTAATCCCAGCACTTTGGGAGGCCGAGGTGGGTGGATCACCTGAGGTCAGGAGTTCAAGACCAGCCTGGCCAGCATAGTAAAACCCCATCTCTACTAAAAATACAAAACTTAGCTGGGTGTGGTGGTGGGCGTCTGTAATCCCAGCTACTCAGGAGGCTAAGGCAGGAGAATCGCTTGAACCCGGGAGGCGGAGGTTGCAGTGAGCTGAGATCACACCACTGCGCTCCAGCCTGGGCGACGGAGTGAGACTCCATCTTAAAAACAAACAAACAAAAAAACAAGCAAATAGACCACAAAATAGACAATGGCTTGAACACAATAACTGCTTCTGTTTTCCTGTGTAAGAGGTTAGTGAGGCAGGCGCAGGGCTGGGGGAGTGCGCTTGTAAGTGGGCTTTGTCATCTTCACTGTATTTTTCCAATGTTGTCCTGAAGCGTTGCCTCATTCCCTCCACCCGAGCAGGTAGAGAACAGGGAGGACCCCATGCAGGAGTTGTTGCGGTTCTAACACGCATCCTATTCTCTTGGGCAGAGCTCAGTCACTTGACCATGCCCAGCTGCAAGGCAGGCTGGGAATGTAGACGAACTAGGTGGGTGAGCCAGGGAGGAGGAGGAGACCTCACCCTAGCCCCAGCTACACTTGCAGGTCGAGCCAAGAGCCGAGGGTTTTGCATATACTGGGTACACTGATTCCTGTTGAGTCTGCAGCCTGATTTCTTTTGAAACTCTAGAATCATCGGAGGCGGGGTTGCATCCTTGGTACAGCCCTCTTTATCATTGCCCCATGGCTGGGGCTGGAGGACAGCAGGAACAGACACTACAACAAAATCAGCTCTCTTGGCTCCAGTCCCTGAAAGCCCATTGCTATTTCTCCCTGAACATCTGGCCTGTTTCCTGGGGTGTGTAGAGAGAGGCCTTCTGTTCCTTCAGGGCCTCAGCTCAGCACCTGCGAACACAGACATTAAAAAAACCCTCAAGAACTGCTTGGCAAGCGCTTGGAACACAGTCTGCTCAGTATGCACCTTCCCACACCCCCTGCTTGTAGTAATAATCTTTACCTGCTAGGCAGAGCACGCCGTTGAGGGGATACATCACTTCACCTGCTGAGATGAGTTCAGAGATTTTCTAATGAGAGGCATTTGGTGGCAAAAATTAATTATGACATATTTCAAAGGCAGGCCAAGAACCTGGCCTCCTCTCCGTTCCCATCCGATGCTTCTGGTCACTAAGGGAAAGAGAATGACAATAACAATAAGTCAGGACTTTTTTTTTTTTTCTGTTGTATAAATAGCAGGGAAGGCTGGGGCTTCTGACTTCAGCACCACAGAATTTTTCTGCAGTGCCTCTTTCCCTGGCACATAGCATGCTCGTTACTAATGGGTCCTAAATGAACCCCAGGTGTCCTGGCGCTCACCTGTGGGTTGAATCTCCCTTGCTCAGTAAGTGTAGAATCCCCTAGGGTCCACCTATTTTGGAGGGACTCAAACTAGGAGTCCCCTAATTGCATTCTTAGGAGAAGGATGTGACTTCTTGAGATGATAAAGGAGACATTACCTGCAGACATTTCAGGTGGAAAGCCAAATTGTGAACTTTTTCTGGTGCAGCTTCTCCATCAGCACTTGCTGCTTCACCTTGCACTATGTTATGGAGATGGTTTTGCTCCTTAAACCTCATGAGCCAATCTTTGCTAGCTTCCAGCTTTTCTTCTGCAGCTTCCTCATTTTTCTCAGCCTCCATAGAATTGAACTGAAGAGAGGTAGGGCCTTGCCCTGGATTAGGCTTTGTCTTAAGGGAATGTGGTGGCTGGTTTCACCTTCTATCCAGACCACTCAAAGTTTCTTCATGTCAGCAATAAGGCTGTTTTGCTTTCTTATCATTCATGTGTTCACTGGAGTAGCACTTTTAATTTCCTTCAAGAACTTTGCCTTTGCACTCACAACTTGGCTAACTGTTTAGCGCAAGAGGCCTAGCTTTCAGCCTATCTCAGCTTTCAACATGCCTTCCTCACTCAGCATAATCAATTCTAATTTTTTTTTATTTAAAGTGAGAGATGTGTGACTCTTCCTTTCACTTTGACACTTTGAAGCTATTGTTGGTTGATTAGCTGGCCCAAGTTCAATATCAGTGTTGCTTTTTGAAAAGAGTAAAAAACCATTTGGAGCCAAATCAAGCAAATGAGGTGTGTGATCAAACTCTAATCACTTAGATATCTGGTATCACTTAGATATCTGATATCATAAAGTAAAACTTTATGAAGTTTGGGGTACCTGTGGCCATTTCTTAAAATAAGACAACAGTGAGGTTTGCCGCACTGATCGACTCTTACTTTCATAAAAGGTTCTCTGTGGCACGTCATGCTATTTTATAACATTTTACCCACAGTAGAACTTCTTTAAAATTGGAGTCAATCCTCTCCAGTTGACTTCCTTGTGTACGCATAATTTTATAATTCAAAGGCCTAGTTTTAGTTGGACAAAAACACATTGGTCACATTGTTAATAGCCATACCCCAAGTGAGCCAGGAAAAATGCTTGTAGGAAAAAGCTGTAGGAATGCGCTCTTCACCTTCCTGCAAAAGATTAGGGATGGTTGATATGTGAGGGAAGGTGAAAGCTGGAAAGAGTGAGTGATACCGAACTTTATTTTTTCATAGGAAATACAGTATTTCCTTCACTGAGCTGACTGGTCATCTGTTGGACCCCAGCCCAGCTCAGCTTAGCAGCCTGTCTGTGTGTGCACGTGTGTGTGTGCATGTGTGTGCGAGTGTGTATGTGTGTACGTGTGTGTGCATGTGTGTGTGAATGTGTGTGCATGCGTATGTGTGTGTGTGTGCATATTTGTGTGTGATTTCTCCAGGTGCCCTCATACTGTGTGGGGACAATGAGTTGATTGCTCCCCTGCTGTGTCACTGGGTGATCTAGGATTATATCACTGCCTGAGGACATGAGTACCTTTTCCTTTGCTGTCCCCTCAGGAAAAAGCCCAGTGTTTCACAGTTGGCTATCCAAAGGGAGGACTGTTCTCCAACCTTCCTAAAGACCCATGTGTGGGGGAGGATGGCAGTGCTTCTGATATTGGGCATGGCAGGTATGTTAATGAGGAAGCTGGAAAGCCATGCCCGGCTTTGAGCTTCCATACATGTGATTATCCCTAACACCTTCTTTTATGATTATTAGGCTTTGAAAATTGCTCTGAGCTATTTTTAAGAAGTCTCAGAATAAAAAGAGATGATCCGGGAAGGTGAGAGGAGCCGATGCCCAGCCACTGTTAAGAACAATGGTGTTTGGCATTTATCTAGGTCTCTCATCATGGTTCAGGCAGGAACTCCCTAGCCAGGTGGAACCTGTGGCAGGAATCCACAAGCTGTGAGTTCAAGCCTCATGCCAGCTGCCTAAGCTCCTGTGAGAAGTTGGTAGATGGTTCATGTCCTTTTTCCTCATTTTTTTATTTTATTTTTTTTTACCAGGGCCAGTCTTCTGCGTAGGCAGAGTGGGCAGAGGCACAGATCGTGTGATTCTAGGTTTATGGAGAGCACGCTCTTTTCAAAGAGCTTCCCTCGCTGCTGTCTGTGAGTTTATCTGTGACCTGCTACAGCAGCAGTCCCCAGACTTTTTGGCACCAGGGACTGGTTTCATGGAAGACAATTTTTCCATGGACCGGGGAGTGGGGTGGGGTGGGATGGTTTCAGGATGATTCAAGCACATTGCATTTATTGTGCACTTTATTTCTTATTCTTATTACATTGTAACGTATAATGAAATACCTGTACAACTCCCCATAATATAGAATCAGTGGGAGCCCTGAACTTGTTTTCCTGCAACTAGACAGTCCCATCTGGGGATGATGGGAGACAGTGACAGATCATCAGGCATTGGATTCTCATAAGGAGCTGACAACCTAGATCCCTCACATGCTCAGTTCACAGTAGGGTTTGCACTCCTATGAGGATCTGATGCTGCAGCTGACCTGACGGGAGGCAGAGCTCAGGCAGTAATGCGAGCGATGGGGAGCGGCTGTAAGTACAGATGAAGCCATCATTCATGGCTCAAGTTGGGGACCCCTGTGCTAGAGCACACACACAGCCATTATATGTCCCCTCTTGTGGCTGATTTGTTTACTGTGGGAGCACAGACTACACTGCAGAGGAGAGCAGAGCTGGGGGGAAAGAAATGGTGGTGGCATCACTTTGCTGGGAAAGGCTGTCTTGTTCTGGAGGCAGGATAAAGGCAGTATGAATGCTTCTCCAGAAGACTTTATCTTACAAGAGCCTGAATGGATGACTAGCTCTCCAAAAGTAAAGCACTGGAAGGGAAGTGAGGTGCCAGGAGATAATAGTTTTGAAGACTAGTCCTGTGAAACGGTGTTTCTTTGTGCTCCAATGGCCTATTTTAAATCCTTATCCTATTTGATACTGTCTGCAGAATCTGATGCTAGTGGCTCCTTCTTCCTTTCTGAAGCTCACTTCCTCCTTCGTTCCTGTGGTAATAGCCTTCCTTGCCTTCTCTGCAAAGTTTTCAAGTTCTCGTCTTTTGTGCTTCTCTTCCTCTGCCTGAACTTTCAATATTGACGTTTCTGGTTAACAGTCTAAGATCATATGGTCACTGTGTGATTTATGTTGTCTACTTGGTGTCACAACCACCCACCATCATGCCGTACAGTTGGTCCCAGCCCCTTACGTGAGCTGGGTTTTTATTTTGGAACTTCCTAACAAACATTTCTAGATGAAGCCCACAGAGACCCAATGCTCAGGAAGTAAACCTGTCAAGAAGCCAACACAGTATTTGCTCCTCCAAATGTTCTTGTTTCTCTGTGTTTCATGTCTTGGTTACTGGTACTATCATCCACCCATGTGGAACCATCTAGAAGCCTAAGAATCACCTTCAGACACCACCTTCCCACCCCACAAATACTCTACATTTTAGCAGTATAAGACTATAGCAGTTTCTTGAATGTAACATGAAATTTCTCATTTCCATACCTTCATTTATGTTGTTTATTCTTGGAATGCTCTTCCTTCATTTTGATGCTTCACACGCTAATACACATCCTTCAAGACCCAATTCCAATGTGTTTTCTATTTTGGGGACTTTTTGACTCTCCTACGAAGACTAAATTAACTGTTCCTTCATTTGTATTCTCTAAACGGTTTGTACTATTTTCTATACATTTATTAAAGACCCCTGAGCGAAGACAACCTCCTAAGAACCCTCATTGTTTCAAGGAATATACCATATGGAAAAGTAGAAAATGAGAGTAAAAAGGAAGCTAACGTGAGGGTAGGAGGGAAGGTGAGGCAGAAGAGGTGAAAAGAAAGAACAGAGTAAAGTCCAAGGGTAGGGGAGTTGAGTGGCCACGCTCATAAGGAGCTTTGCCACCCCTCAGTTTCCCGAGCACCTGCCACGTGCCAGGCACTATGGGGGCTTTAGTGTAGATGATTTCTCCCTCGTCTTGCTCCTTCATAGCAAGAGGAAGGAAGCACCAAAGTAAAAAACCCGAGAAAACCTGGAGAAGGTGCCCAGGTTGTCTTGCTGGTATTTAGTACTCCTAGGGTGGCTGGAAAAAGCATCCCGCTTCAAGAGGCCACCATCTGACACAGGGCACCCAGGTACTCTTTCCTATAAAGCAGAAGTCCCCAACCCCTGGGCTGTGAATCAATATGTGTCTACAGCCTGTGAGGAACAGGGCTGCACAGGAGGTGAGCAGCAGGTGAGTGAGCATGACTGCCCAAGCCCCACCTCCTGTCAGATCAGGGGTGGCATTCGATTCTCATAGGAGTGGGAACCCTATTGTGAACTGCATGTGCAAGAGATCTAGGTTGCATGTTCCTTATGAGAATCTAATGCCTAATATCTGAGGTGGAACAGTTTCATCCCGAAGCCATCCCCACTCCGTGTCCCATCCATGGACAAACTGTCTTCCACAAAACCAGCCCCTGGTGCCAGAAAATTTGGGGACTGCTGCTGTAAAGCATGCACAGTGCACGAGGCCTGGTTGAGCTCTGAGACTTGGCTGAGCCCTCGCAGCAGAGGTGACTGATGAGGACACAGCATCAGGTCGTCTACTGCTTCCTGAACTTGTACTGACTTTCAGGTCTTTTTACCATTTATTTATTTATTTATTTATTTATTTATTTATGAGATGGAGTCTCACTCTGTTGCCCAACCTGGATTGCAGTGGTGCGATCTCAGCTCACTACAATCTCCATCTCCCGGGCTCAAATGATTCTCCTGCCTCAGCCTCCTGATTAGCTAGGATTGCAGACACCCCCCACCATGCCTGGCCAATTTTTGTATTTTTAGTAGAGACGGGGTTTCACCATGTTGGTCAAGCTGATCTCGAACTCCTGAACTCAGGTGATCCACCTGCCTCGGCCTCCCAAAGTGCTGGGATTACAGGCGTGAGCCACTGTGCCCAGCCTGAGTTTCAGGTCTTCAAACAAAAGTTCACCTGGTCCAGAGTTGTTGAAATGTAATGAATTTTCTGGAAAACGTGTGTCTCATTCATCTCTTGTTGGCGTTTCTGAAAATACCACAGGTTCTGGAGACGCTACCGCTTCATGTCTCCTAGCAGCACCGGCCATCTACCTGGGCACACCAGGGCTCCGTGAAAATGTGTTCCTGGGATGCCAGTGTTTCCACCCTGGGATCCAGGAGGCCTGGCTCCAAACCCCAAATCTGCACCCACTACCTGGGAGATGTAGGGGCATGACAGCTGCTCAGAGGTCTCAGTGTCCTCACATATATTCCAGGAACAGTAGGCTGCTTGGGCCACCGGCGCCAACATCCTGTGGTGATTTCTTCATCATGACAGGGTTTCGTGTCTGTGAGATGCCTGGCAAGAATCTGTAGCAGGTTGCGTGAGAGCTGGCTTGGCTCTGATGCTCCACATTCTTCTCCATGGCTTCTTTCTTTCCTTTTCTTTTCTTTTCTTTTCCTTTTCCTTTTCCTTTTCTTTCTTCCCTTTCTTTCCTTTCTTTTCTTTTCTTTTCTTTCTTTCCTTTCTTTCGTTTCGTTTCCTTTCTTTCTTTCTTTCTTTCTCTCAGAGTTCAGACTTTGGTTAATCGTGACAAGCCTATTAATAATTTCTGCTCTATTAGTTTCCTCATACAATACAGTACTTTATCTGTCAGCCAGAGTTTCCTTGGTGTGTAACCGTGGCTCTTATCCAGTGTATCTCATAATATTTATTTTCTGAAATAATCTAGAGCATGTGCTTGTTAATGCTTTTATTAGTTCACATTTGAGAATGGGTTGCCAGTTTGCAGTCTAGATAATATTATGGTGTCTCTGCATCTGCCTGTCAGCTGCATCTGCTATTTGAATGTTTGGTTATTTCTCCAGCCTCCCCTCATTAACCATTCCGGTCCCTCCTTAGGCAGCGCTCCTCATGGCCACTGAGCATGAAGCCAAGATCCCTGCAGTGATATCCTACACAGACAAGGGTGTAAATAGCTTAGTTTCATCAGGCTGTTGAAAATGACACCATTCTCCATGCACTAATTCTTTTTATTTTATTTTTTATTTTTTATTTTTTGAGACGGAGTCTCGCTGTGTCCCCCGGGTTGGAGCGCAGTGGCGCGATCTCAGCTCACTGCAAGCTCCACCTCCTGGGTTCACGCCATTCTCCTGCCTCAGCCTCCCGAGTAGCTGGGACTACAGGCGCCCACCACCACGCCTGGCTAATTTTTTGTATTTTTAGTAGAAACGGGGTTTCACCCATGCGGTGGCTCACACCTGTAATCCCAGCACTTTGCGAGGCCGAGACAGGCGGATCACGAGGTCAGGAGATCTCCCATGCACCATTTCCATCATATTTTTGTTACTCTGAGTGGTAACAGAACCTGTAGCTGCTCTGTTAACCTGGAAACGGGCTTGTTTTGTACAAAAAAGTTACCTGCTTTCAGATGGGGCCGGTGTTCATTTAATTTTTCTGATGACACAAACTTGATGATGATGAAGTTCTCTACAGAGAAAGTCACACTAGAAAGACTGATAAGTTTTCAGACCCTTGAGGTTGGCCAGAACTCTAAAGAAGAGGTAGATATGGAGAGACTTTGTAAAAGGAATCATCCTGACGTAGTGACAGATGGGATGTGGAAGATGAAGGAGAGGGTGGAATCAAAGACGAATCATGAAAGCGACCCCTCTGGTGGCGTCGAAAAGCTTCTCAGTTGTTGGAGAATCTTTCACATTGTGAGCTGATTAGATTGAAAAACACACATATATGGGGCTGTGACCTGAACTATATCTGACTAAGTCAGCAATTGCTTTGTGTGTTTGGGCACGTGTTCATGTTTGTGCACGTGTTCATGTGTGTGTAAATGGGCCTGGTGTTTGTGACTCAGTAACTTTTTCTAAGAGAAAACACGCATCCTCACCCTTGCAGGGGAGGCACCAGCTGTCAGTGGTGAAAGAGAGAGAAGGGTCTTCATTCCCCTCGTCTTCCCTCTGCTGTCTCCCCAGCCCTTTACCTCCCACCTTGGCCCCTTCTCCCGTTCATCTTCCTCTCCTCCTGCTCCAGAGAAGGAAGTAATTAAACAGTCTGTCCTGTGTTGGCTTTTTTTTTTTTTTTTACTGCATATAGCCTTTTTTTTAAAAAATTATACTTTAATTTTTATAGTATATGTGCACAACGTGCAGGTTTGTTACATATGTATACTTGTGTTGGCTTTTTAAGGATGTGAGAATTATAAAAACAAAATACTATGAGTAGAAGTATGGAACAAAATGACAAGCCTCATTTACCTTAAAATAAGAAATCTCTTGGCCAGGCTTGGTGGTGGCTCATGCCTGTAATCCCAGCACTTTGGGAGGCTGAGACAGGCAGATCACTTGAGCTCGCAAATTCAAGTCCAGCCTGAGCAACATGGAAAAGCCCCATCTCTACCAAAAATAGAAAAATTAGCTGAGCTTAGTGTCATCTGCCTGTAGTCCCAGCTACTTGGGAGGCTGAGGTGGGAAGATCACTGAGCCCGTGGAGGTCAAGACTGCAGTGTGCCCTGATGGTGCCACAGCACTCCAGTCTGAGTGACAGGGCAAGACCCTGTCTCACAAACAAACAAACAAACACAAAAGATAAAAAAAAAATCTCTAGCTCAGAAGCAGATGCTAAAGAGATCCAGTAGTCAAAGGTGAGGGGAAATGTTAGAGTGTGGTCAGGGTTCATCCTGCCTGCATGACACTGCCCATCCTGTGCTGGGGATGCTGGTGGCTTTGGGCTTGTGTTTAGATTTGCAGTTGGGGTCATATTCCAGGTCCAATGCATTTTCCCATCCCTGATAAGCTCAGCATGATATGTGACTTAGCTCTCAGTTTCTCTGAAGGAGATGGCCTTGCAGTTTGAACTCCAGGAGCTCCTAGGAGCCACTGTGGAAAAGAGGCCGGAGCATGAACAAGGAGCATCTAACTTCAGCCTGACAGGACAGCAGCTTGCAGTGCAGTAGTTACAACAACCCGTAGAATTACCAAGCCTTCCTTGTAGTGATTGGGGAGGGAGAGTTGGTCCCTTGTCACATCGTTGCTGTGACTAGTCCATTAGCTGACCTCGGGAGTGTTTCTCTGGCTCGTCGAACACAGGGCTGTTCAGCTGTTACAAAGCTCGCGTCCAACCTAACATCAGTGTCTCTCTCTGATTTCCTGTTGGGAGCATGAGAGCTGCCTGTGATACACTGTTGGTGGTGCTTCATGGAATTCGTCCTGTGTGCATGCGAGATAGTTTTAATTCTCTTTCACAAACTATTAATGAGCTCATGTCTAGGGTTGCTAGAGTTTAGGAACAGGAATCAGATGAGGAATAATGAATTTAAAGATATAGATAGAGGACTCTGAGAAAAACAGCTGAGTTAGTGAGTCCTATCTGTAAAGGGTATGGTTTCATTCTTTTTTTATGGCTGTGTAGTATTCCATGGTGTATATGTACCACATTTTCTTCATCCAGTTCACCATTGGTGGGCACCTGGGTTGATTCCATGTTTTTGCTATTGTGAGTAGTGCTGCAAGGAACATATGCATACACGTATCTTTTGGTAGAATTATTTATTTTCCTTTGGATATATACCCAGTAGTGGGATTGCTGGGTCAAATGGTATTTCAACTCTTAGTTCTTTGAGCCTGCTCTTCACAGTGGCTGGGATTATCATACACTCCCACTGACAGTGTGTGAGCTTTGCTCTGTAGCCTTGACAGCATTTGTTATTATTTGACTTTTTAAAAAAACCATCGAGTTGGTATCTCATTGTGCATGAGACGGTATGTCATTGTGGTTTTGATTTGCATTTCCCTGATGATGAGTGATGTTCAGCATTTTTTCATATGTTTGTTGGCTGCTTGTATGTCTTCTTTTGAGACGTGTCTGTTCATATTCTTTGTCCACTTTTTAATGTGGTTATTTGCTTTTTGCTTGTTTATTTTAAATTCATTGTAGATTGTGGATATCAGACCTTTTGTGAAAAATGGACATTTTTAAAGCTACAATATTTTGGTTTTTAGCATATCCAGAGAGCTATGCAACCTATATCATGACCTAAGCTTAGAATATTTTTATCACCTCAAAAGAGAAACTTCAAACCTATTAGCAGTTATTCCCCGTCTACCCTGTCCCCTAGCTCCTGAAAACCACTATTGTTTTAGTTTCTATGAATTTCCTACCACCACTCCATCATACTCTGCCACCCACCAAACTAATGCCACTTCCATTGCTAAGCCCACTAGGACACTCCCTAAAACTTCAATGCCTGACCCTCATGCCTCTGTGTATTCCTCAATAGCCATCGCTGTAGTATAACCAAAAACAACTATCATTCCCCGCAACTATCATTCCATATAAGTGGAATCGTACATGGTGTCCTCTTTCATGGCTGGCTTCTTTCACACAGCGTGATGTTTTCAAGGTTCATTCATGTAGTAGCATGTCAGTACTTCATTGCGTTTTATGACTGAGCCATCCCATTGGGTGTATTTACCACATTTTCTTTATCTGTTGATCCATGGTGGACATTGGGGTTCTTTCCACTTTGTGGCTATTATGAGTAGTGCTACTATGAATATTTGTGTACGTGCTTTTGTGTGGACATGTTTTTGTTTCTCTTGGGTAGATATCTAAGAGTGGAATTCCTGAGTCATGTGGTAACTCCATGTTTAACCTGATGAACTAGAGGGAGAAGGTTGGTACCTTGCCATGTTAGAATGACACAAATCTCTCCCAGGTAGTGAGTATAGCTCCCAAGTGGTGTAGCTCCTGTCCTGGCTAAGATTCAGCCATTTTTTTTCTTGAATAAATACTCCTCAGATTCTTGTAAGCCTTTGGTTATTTTGCAGAGTTCTGAGGAGGGTGATTTTGACAGTTTTGTTCGAGCTGCTTTAACAGAAGAGCGGCTTTTTGGGATAAATTTCTCATCCTATTGCTTATTTTTAAAATTACTTTCTTTGCTTTTAAGCTTTAATAGTGTTACTTGAACTTTGCTTCTAACAGATGCATCATATTTCAGAGATAAACTCATTAAATCACATCATATTCCCCAAAACTTTGACAGAAAGTTACCTAAGTCAGGATACCTTGGTGACTGGACTTTCCCCTGAGATTGTTTTCCTTCATTGCACAGTAAGTTCATATTCTACTGCTCTCCCTCTCTTTCTTCAATTTTTCTATACTTTTTTGTGTCATCTTTATTGAGATACAGTATGCATTCATTCACATTCTCTAATTTAAGAGTGCATTTTAGTGAGCTTTGAAAAAATGTGTAGTCATGTAAGCACGATTATGATACAAAACAATTTCATCCTTAAAAACAGCTTCCCTCTATCTTTTTACAGTCAGTCCATTCCTTTACACCCCAGCCCTCGGAAATCAGTGCTCTGCTTTCTAACACTGTGGTTAAGTCCCTTTCTAGAATTCATATAAATGGAATCATGGAGTACCTATCATTTGGGTCTGGCCTCCTTCTCAGTATAGTACCTTCAAGATTCATCCGTGTCGTTGCATGCTTATCAGTGGTTCAATTCTTTGTTATTATTATGTAGAATTTCGTTATATGGACATAACTCAGTGTGTTGATCCATTCAACAGTTGATGGACATTTGGGTTGTTTCCTGTTCTTAGCTAATTTGAATAAAGTTATGAACACTCATGCATAGGCAATTCTGTGAAAATTTTTATTCTTTTAGCAAAATATTTAGTAGAATTACTGGTCATATGATAAGTTTATGTTTAACGTTATTAGAAACTGGCAGATTGTGACAAATGATGAGTATCTTTTTGTGTATTTATTTGCCACCTGTAACTTCACTGACAAAAGGATCACGCAGCTCCTTGACCAGTTTATTATTGGACATTGCCTTCCTATTATTGAATTGTAAGATCTCTAAATATATACTGTCAAATAAATGTTTTGCAGATAGCTTATTTCAATACGTGGCTTGCTGTCATTTCTTTAACAACCTTAATAGTGCCTTTTGAAGAGCTGAGTCTTTTAATTTTCACCAAGTCTAATTTATCAATTTTTTTCTTTTGTGATTTTGACTGTCATACTCTATTTAAGAAAGTTTTGTCTCAGCCAAGGTCATTAAGCTTTATTTTGTTTGTTTCTAGAAATTTTATAGTTTTAATTTGCACATTTAGCTCTGTAATGCAGTTCATGTTAAATTTTTTAGATGGTATAAAGATCAAGGATCATTTTTGCTGGTATGTGGATGTCCAGTTTGTTCATGTTATGTTGAAATGGTGATTGTCTCCATGGAGTTGCTTTTACTTGCACTTTTATTGAAAATGAATTTGCTACTGATGAATGGGTCTGTTTCTGGACTCTATTCTGTTCCATTGATCTATTTGACTACCTTTGCAACATTATTACACTGTCTGATTACTGTAACTTTTAAAAAGACTTAAAATCAGGTCGTTTAAGTCTTCAGATTTTCTTCCTCTTTAAAATTGTTTTGGCTATTCTAGATTACTTATGTTTCAATATAAATTTTAGAATAAGTTTGATGATTTCTGCAGAAAATCCACCTGGAATATTAAGATTGCATTAACTCTATACATCAATTTTCGGAGAATTGGCATGTTAGTAACATTAAGTGTATTTGAGTGTAGATCTCTTTATTTAGGTATTTTAAATTTTTACCAATATCACATATTTTTTAAAGTTTATCACTTAGATTATATTTTTAAGATTATTCAAAAGGTGTTATGAATTTTTAACTTACTATTTCCAATTGTTAGTATACAGAAATATTATTTATTTTTGTAAATTGACTTTTTATCCTACAAATTTGCTGAACAACTGTTTTATTGATTTTGTAGTTTTTCCATACATTTCTTAGGATTTTCTACATAGCTGTTCATTTTATCTGCAAATCAAGCCAGTTTTACTTACTAATTTCTGATTTTTACTGCTTTTATTTCCTTTTCCTACCTTATTACACTGGCTAGGACTGCCAGTAAAATGATGACTAGAAGTGTGAGGGATTAAATCTCTGCCTGGGTTCTAGATCTAAGGGGAAAAGTGTTCAGTATTCAACCATTCAGTATGTTACTTGTTGGTTTCTCGTAGATATCATTTGGCAGATATCTTTTGGCAGGTTATGAGAGTTCCTGGGTTATGGAAAATGCCATAAATTTCCTCTTAGCACTTCCTTGCATGCGTTCTATGAATTTTGACGTGTGATTATTTAGTGTTTGTTCATTTCACACTCACATTTTTACACAGATAAGTATTGAGCTAAAGGTCCCATAGGACTGTGCTGCAGGTCTCTAGAGCTCAGGTCTTCTGTGAAGCACCTCCTCTCCAACACCCTGCTCCATAACGTCTAGCTTTACCGAACTCCTGGAACTCTGGGCTTTGTGTCCTCAGTTCATTAGGCCACCAGGTCTTATCTCAATCTCCTTTCTTAGGCTGTGGTCTGGAAGCTTTCTCTAGGCAGTGAGCTGGGGCCCTCGTAAGCTCAAATGTTTGTCTCCTGTCTCTTACAGTTGACTCTCTTGTACTGCCTGTTGTCCAAAGTCTAAAACACATCATTCGTGTATTTTTCCTATGTTCTTATTGTAGAAAGGAGAGTAAATCTAGTCCCTGTTATTCCTTTATGCTGAGAAGCAGAAATCTATAGGTTTACTATCACACTGATCTTGTGTCTCTGATTTCATGAAGGAAGCGTGCATGAGAGAAACTCCCAGAGGCAGATGTGCTCTAGGAGGAGTGAAGGACAGAAATGGCAAGCCCTAGGTAGCGCATGAGGCTGGGACCACCATTCTGGGGTTGATGTTTCTCCATCACACATTAGGTTGACCTGGGGAGTGTCTAGGAAAACACTGATGCTGTTTTGCCTCACAAACACTAAGTCAAAATCCCAGGCACCAGTGTTCTGTGAAAGCTATGCTTGGGAAACTAACGTGAACCTATTTGTGTGAAGCATGGGGCTAGCTCCTCTAAGCTGATTCTGACCTGTCTTATGTGAGGTCACTGAGCTGGCTCTGAGATGCCTACCAATATTGAAGTATTTACAAACTGAAGCAATTTAGGCAGCATGCTCTAGTACTTCCAATATCTTCAGACAAGCTGCAATTCTTCTAAGGAGCTGAGGGGCAGGAGGGTTTGATCTCACTTGGTAGTACAGTGGCAGTTGGGAAGTGCCCGTGGACATGTGCTATGTTCAGAATTGTCAGAATTGTGGACAGTCACTCCAGGCACTAATACTGGGAACTGCCAATCAAGGCACTTGGTAGCAACTTAGTAAATTGCAACTTTTTTTTTTTTTTTTTGGAATGAATTTGATCAGGTAATTTGTTATCTCTGAGCCTCAGTATTGTATTAGTATTGCCATGTGTAAAATAGTCTACTTCTGTTATCTTCCAAGATTTTGTGAAACTCACATAAAATAGACCACGTGAAGACATTTAGGAATTTATTTAAAAAGAGGGAGGACTATAAATCTACTTAGTATGTTTTATGTCTTAATAATTTAATTTAGTCTAAAAGTGGGTTAGATGTAACGGTGCCTTTAGAAATTAGGTCTTGTGTAAATAGGCATTGTTTTGGTTTGAATTAGTTCATAGAGGAAAGTAGGTTTACTTTAATAAATAATTGAAAACATATTAATACAAGTCGCAAAAATTTTTTAGTGAAAAGTGTGGAAAGAAAAAAAACAGTACAATAAAACGGATATGTTTTTCTGCTTTCTAGTTGTTGGTATTTTATTTAAGCATTCATTCTCTATATAAGGCTCACTCTTCTTGGCTTTTCTTCCTCTCGGAAATAAACAGACATTAGTCACATGCAGAATTAAACGCTGCTGCAGAATTTTGTGGTGTGGCATGAGACGCTCAGAGCTGATGGAAGTCTAGAAAGGTTAAGCCGTTGTCCGACCTGAATCAAGCAATTCTTTTCAAACATTCAGTAAAATGCAGCCAAGTAGGCATAATCTAAAATGGACTATGTGGAGGTCCTGTGGGCAAGACTGGGGAGGAATTCCTGGGCAGTCTTCATCCATTTTCTTTTTCCTATTATGGTAAGCTAACTCAAAGCTTAAGTCAATCCATGAATCCATCTCTAGTCCTGGGTCAGGCAATAGGGGTGGGAGTCTGGTGGGGAATCCGGCACTTAGAGTAACGTGTTCACCATCGCTCGTGTGTGTGTGTGTGTGTGTGTGTGTGTGTGTGTGTGTGTGTGTGTGTGTCTAATGGTAGGATGTTTCAGTCTCTTCTCTTATTGCTCCAGAGAGAGCGCTGTGGTCTCACAAGTCCTCTGAGGATTCTTCCTGGTGGTTCAGAACAGAGTGTGGACTACAGAACCTTTAATGTGTAATGTATTCAGGAAAGAGTACCTGTAATATTTTGCACTGTTCATTTTTAGTGTAGAAGCTGTAACTCTTGTCTTAATCTACATCTGGTTTTAGAAGGCAGGAGTTCTTAGGGAAAGGCTGGTGTAGCTTCATTTTGGCAATTTAAAAAGTTTTACCCGATGAACCCTTAGCCATCCTTGTTAGTCCTGCAGACAACCGTGAACATACCACAGACAAGGTGCTCAGAAGGGGGACTTACCTATGCAGGTCCAATCATCTGCAAAGGATTGGGCACATTGGAGCCTGACCGTCTTAAAAAAGCCTTTCTTTATGAGAATCCATGGGCTTTTTCTGTCCAAGGCAAAGCACAAAGCACTTGTTGGGCCTATTAAAGGCACTGCAGGATTGCATCCTTGATGGGGTGTTTCAGGTAAGCCACTTGCACCTTTTGTAGTAACTTTCTTATAGACAGTGGGCTCATTCAGTGTGTGGCAGATGCCCGGCAAGCATGCTTCATCTTGCTCTGCAGTGGCAACTCTCTCGTTTCCCATGTGGAATTGTGACCATGGAGCTTCATATTTTCAGAGATTTAGTTCCTAATGAATAAAGTATTTTAAATGTACTTATTTATTTGTGACCCCAAAAAAGAAGTGTTTGGGTTAGATGATCTCTTTCAGCTTTCAGAGCCTGCAATCCCTTTCCTGATTCCGAATCATAAATGTATGGGAATGTGTCAATGTGCAAGAGAAAGAGGGGAACAGAAAAAGTCAAATACAAACACAAGAGTATTCCAGTTAACTTAAGCGAGAGAATCTTCCACAATTCCTCTTTCTTTTGGATTCTCTCCTGTTGTCTCCAAGGCTCACTGACTCCAACACGGGGCCCTGAGTGTCGGTTGCAAAGTGCTTGAACAATCTGTCCTTTGTTTCACATCTAGTCTCATTTCAGGGTCCGTTTGTTGACACTTGAAGTCAAGCGCTGTGTCATCAGAGAGACTCTGGTGCAAGGCAGTCAGCTGTTTATTTTGCTGCACAATCTCTGTGCCCAGTTCAGCCAGAGAGAGCAGCCCTGCATGCAGCAAACCAGAACCGAGCCTGCAGCAGGACTCAATTAAGTTGTCACTCTGGAGTGTTTTTCTGGCTGGAAATGAAGCTAATCCTTCCTAATGCGCTGGCTTCTTCGACCATGTCCAAGCAAGGGCTCACATTTGGCTAAGGGTTCGAATCCTGTTTCAGGGAATCCAATTCAATTAATTCAATGTTCCTCTTTACTTAGCAAATACTAAATACCTACTACGTACCAGCCGGAGCAGTAGGCACTGGAGTACCCATAAGACATAAATCTAGGTACATAGTGGGAATCTTAAATTTGCTAGAACTGGGGAATTCGGGTGTATAGCCAAACAAAGAAAATGTAGTGGAAGAAATATCAAATGCAAAAAAAGCAAGAATCCTTAGTTTAAAAAAAAAATTATTTCACTTATGAAAGGAGTCTTCTGTGAAACCACCCCTAGGTGTAAGCCCTGGGGATAGATCATTAGAAACAGGACCCCCCACCCACCCCCACAGAGTACCTGGGAACTTAAGCCTACAAAGATTTTCTAGACTCTCTATTAGAGAAATTTTACCAAAACAGTTATGTTTCAGGAAAGTGGGGATCATTTTACCCAGCGGCCTTGCAAGTTTCATAGCAAGTCTCCTTGTTATGGGTCTACAGGGAATTAAGGCAACTTGAACTAAGAGAGAAAACTATGGTATATTTTCTAAAAAAAAAAAAAATACTGCAATGAGAGTTCTATTTTTTTTTTTTAACTTGGTAGAGTAAGTCATACCTAAAATTTCCCTGTAAGACCTTGGTCAAAATAAGAACGTTATTACTTTGGCTTAATATCAAAATGGTAAAACATGAACTGGAAGTCAAGATAACAGTTTTCTTTACATCTTAATTGCAAAGCCTTCAAGAAAAAGGAAAATATGACAAAAGCAATATAGCATAGGCATTGAATAGAGACTTTGAAGTCAAAAAGCGTGAAATCAAATAATGGCTCTAGCCGTCACTCAATGTGAGGTCGGAGGCAACTTATGAAACCTCTCTTAGCCTCAGTCTTTCCATGTGTAAGATGGGGACGATAATATTTATTTCACATGGTTATTATTACAATTAAATGAGTGGCTAATTGAAAAGCTCTTTAACAAGTGCCTGGCATGTAGAAAATGCTCAGTAAATTTCATTTACTATCATTCTTGTTGCTACTGTTACTGTTATTATTACCTGCAGTGTGTGAGGTCTTAGGCTGTGCTTGGACTTGGACATGGACTGGGAAGGGTGAAGGGGAGGGTGAACTGCAAACCTGAGTAAGGGTGAAGGAGAGGGTGTACTGCAAACCTGTAATAAAAGAAGTCTGTATTGAAAGAAAAAGAAGCCAGGATCCCCAGAGATACAGGGGAGAGTGTAGAATGTGAGGGAACCAGCAAACCCAGTGTTCTCTAGTCTTAAACACTGAAACATCTGAGACAGCTTTATACATCTTCTTGGGCGCATTTATCTAACAGACAACAGTGTGGAAATGCGATCCAGCTAACAACAGAAACACGAAGAACCAACTGCATACCACTCCATCAAGAGCCAACCCTGGTTTAAAGTAAAGCTTCCTATGGTGTTTCAGTCTTATTATCCCTCCAGGGATCCAGAAGTCATCATGAAGATATTTCGCTAAAACTGCACTCGTACGTTTAAACACTGATAATGGAAAAATGTATTTTGCTAAAAACAGTAAGAACTGCAACTTCTATTGAAACATACTGAGAAATAGTGTTATAGTGAAAGTAAAAGATCTGATGTTGAATCAGGATGGGAGGGCAAGAAATGATTTTCATGAAGAAGGAAGAAAATGAATATTTTCAAAAGCTCACCTGCCTGGAAGTCACAATGAAGCATTAAGGAACATCTGACATAAAAGGAGGGAGTGTAATTCATCAAGAGGATGCCCATGGGGACTTGATTGCTGGACTTTATTTCTAAGTCAGGGGAGGCATGATCCTAAGCATGCTGAAGAGATGGAAGGGACATCGGGGCTGCCACTGGGCCCCTCCCTCACACCTCATGCTCCACCAGGAGAGCTCAGCCTTGCCACGTGGCTCCGTGGCCTGGAACCTCAGGGTCGGGGTGAGCCATTGTCCTGCTCAGGGGATAGCACCCTCTGCTCTGCTGTGCACGGTAGCCCCACTTTTCATTCTGCATACTTCTTCTAAGCTGCAGGAGCTTCTGGCTCTTTTTCATGTCACCAAAGAGCCTTAAATACAGAAATCTCCATGTTTTCTTTCTTTTTTTTCTCTCTAGGAGTCTCTAGACTCCTCTTGGCCCAAAGGTTAACATGGTAGGTGGCACTTGCATTAAGTAGGTACCAATAGGGGTGTGTGTTTGTGTGTGTGTGTGTGTGTGTGTGTGTGTGTTGACCTTTGCTTTGATCAGCTTTTATTACAAAATTTGACCATGACTACGTTTGTGTGCAAGAGATGCTGCTGGAAGTATAGTCCCAGGCTGGGAAGTTGCTACCTAGCAGCAAAGTTACACTAGGGAAGAGGAGGTGCACAGTTGTGGCTGACAGCAGCAGCCTTTGCCACAATCAGTACTGGGCTTCAGTGGTCTTTCTCCCTCTATTATATCACATTTATTATAACAGCTTTACGTGCATCTGTCTCTAGGTCACCAGCTCCTTATGAGAGGTACCCGAGCTGTTTATCTTTGTTTCTCCAGGCCCCAGCCTCATTCTTTTTTTTTGTCCTGATTTTACCTTTTTTTATTATACTTTAAGTTCTGGGATACATGGTGCAGAATGTGCAGTTTGTTATGTAGGTATACATGTGCCATGGTGGTTTGCTTCACCCATCAACCCGTCATCTACATTAGGTATTTCTCCTAATGCTATCCCTCCCCTTGTCCCCCACCCTCGACAGACCCCAGTGTGTGATGTTCCCCTCACTGTGTCCATTTGTTCTCATTGTTCAACTCCCACCTATGAGTGAGAACACATGGTGTTTGGTTTTCTGTTCCTGTTTGTTTGCTGAGAATGATGGTTTCCAGCTTCATCCATGTCCCTGAAAAGGACACGAACTCATTCTTTTTATGGCTGCATAGTATTCCATGGTGTATATGTGCCACATTTTCTTTATCCAGTCTGTCATTGATGGGCATTTGGGTTGGTTCCAAGTCTTTGCTATTGTGAATAGTGCCACAATAAATATACGTGTGCATGTGTCTTTATAATGGAATGATTTATAATCCTTTGGGTATATACCCAGTAGTGGGATTGCTGGGTCAAGTGATATTTCTAGTTCTAGATCCTTAAGGAACCACCACACTGTCTTCCACAATGGTTGAACTAATTTATACTCCCACCAACAGTGTAAAAGCGTTCTTATTTCTCCACATCCTCTCCAGCATCTGTTGTTTCCTGACTTTTTAATGATCGCCATTCTAACTGGCGTGAGATGGTATCTCATTGTGGTTTTGATTTGTATTTCTCTCATGACCAGTGATGGTGAGATTTTTTTCATATGTTTGTTGGCTGCATAAATGTCTTCATTTGAAAAGTGTCTGTTCATATCCTTTGCCCACTTTTTGATGGGGTTGTTTTTTTCTTGTAAATTTGTTTAGGTTCCTTGTAGATTCTGGATATTAGCCCTTTGTCAGATGGATAGATTACAAAAATTTTCTCCCTGTTCACTCTGATGATAGTTGTTTTTTGTTTTGTTTTGTTTTGTTTTGTTTTGTTTTTGCTGTGCAGAAGCTCTTTAATTAGATCCCATTTGTCAATTTTGGCTTTTGTTGCAATTGCTTTTGGCGTTTTAGTCAAGAAGACTTTGCCCATGCCTATGTCATGAATGGTATTGCCTAGGTTTTCTTCTAGGGTTTTTATGGTTTTAGGTCTTACATTTAAATCTTTAATCCATCTTAAGTTAATTTTTGTATGAGGTGTAAGGAAAAGGTCCAGTTTCAGTTTTCTGCATATGGCTAGACAGTTTTCCCAACACCATTTATTAAATAGGTAATCGTTTCCCCATTGCTTGTTTTTGTTAGGTTTGTCAAAGATCAGATGGTTGTAGTTGTGCAGTGTTACTTCTGAGGCCTCTGTTCTGCTTCATTGGTTGATATATCTGTTTTGCTAACAGTACCGTGCTGTTTTGGTTACTGTAGCCTTATAGTTTGAAGTCAGGTAGCATGATGCCTCCAGCTTTATTCTTTTTGCTTAGGATTGTCTTGGCTATATGGGCTCTTTTTTCGGTTCCATATGAAATTTAAAGTAGTTTTTTCTAATTCTGTGAAGAAAGTCAGTGGTAGCTTGATGGGGATGGCATTGAATCTATAAATTACTTTGGGCAGTATGGCCATTTTCACAATATTGATTCTTCTTATCCATGACTATGGAATGTTTTTCCATTTGTTTGTGTCCTCTCTTATTTCCTTGAGAAGTGGTTTGTAGTTCTCCTTGAAGAGGTCCTTCACACCCCTTGTCAGTTGGATTCCTAGGTATTTTATTCTCTTTGAAGCAATTGTGAATAGGAGTTCACTCATGATTTGGCTCTCTGTTTGTCTATTATTGGTGTATAGGAATGCTTGTGCATTTTTGCACATTGATTTTTGTATCCTGAGACTTTGCTGAAGTTGCTTATCAGCTTAAGGAGTTTTTGGGCTGAGGCAATGGGGTTTTCTAAATATACAGTCATGTCATCTGCAAACAGAGACAATTTGACTTCCTCTCTTCCTAATTGAATATGCTTTATTTCTTTCTCTTGCCTGATCGCCCTGGCAAGAACTCCCAATACTATGTTGAATAGGAGTGGTGAGAGAGGGCATCCTTGTGCCAGTTTTCAAAGGGAATGTTTCCAGCTTTTGCCCATTCAGTGTGATATTGGCTGTGGGTTTGTCATAAATAGTTCTTATTATTTTGAGATACGTCCCATCAATACCTAGTTTATTGAGTGTTTTTAGCATGAGGGGGTGTTGAATTTTATCAAAGGCCTTTTCTGCATCTATTGAGATAATCGTGGTTTTTGTCACTGATTCTGTTTATGTGATGTATTATGTTTATTGATTTGCATATGTTGAACCACCCTTACATCCCAGAGTTGAAGCCGAGTTGATCATGGTGGATAAGTTTTTTGATCTGCTGCTGTATTCAGTTTTCCAGTATTTTATTGAGGATTTTTGCATCAATGTTCATCAGGGATATTGGCCTGAAATTTTCTTTTTTAGTTGTGTCTCTGCCAGGTTTTGGTATCAGGATGATGCTGGCCTCAAAAATGAGTTAGGGAGGATTTCCTCTTTTTCTATTGTTTGGAATAGTTTTAGAAGGAATGGTACCAGCTCCTCTTTGTACCTCTGGTAGAATTTGGCTGTGAATCCGTCTGGTCCTGGGCTTTTTTTTTGGTTGGTAGGCTATTAATTACTGTATCAACTTCAGAACTTGTTATTAGTCTATTCAGAGATTTGACTTCTTTGTGGTTTAGTCTTGGGAGGGTATATGTATCCAGGAATTTATCCATTTCTTCCAGATTTTCTAGTTTATTTGCATAGAGGTGTTTATAATATTCTCTGATGGTAGTGTGTATTTTGTGTGGGATCAGTGTTGATATCCCCTTTATCATTTTTTATTGTGTCTATTTGATTCTTTTCTCTTTTCTTCTTTATTAGACTGGTTAGTGGTCTATCTATTTTGTTAATCTTTTGAAAAAACCAGCTCCTGGATTCATTGATTTTTGAAGGGTTTTTTGTGTGTCTATCTCCTTCAGTTCTGCTCTGATCTTAATTATTTACTCTCTTCTGCTAGCTTTTGAATGTGTTTGCTCTTGCTTTTCTAGTTCTTTTGATTGTGGAGTTAGGGTGTCAACCTTAGACCTTTCTTGCTTTCTCATGTGGGTGTTTAGTGCCATAAATGTCCGTCTAAACACTGCTTTAGCTTTGTCCCAGGGATTCTGGTACATTGTGTCTTTGTTCTCATTGGTTTCAAAGAACTTACTTATTTCTGCCTTAATTTCATTATTTACCCAGTAGTCATTCAGGAGCAGGTTGTTCAGTTTCCATGTAGTTGTGCAGTTTTGAGTGAGTGTCTTAATCCTGAGTTCTAATTTGATTGTGCCATGGTCTGAGAGACTGTTCGCTTTAATTTCCGTTCTTTTGCATTTGCTGAGGAGTGTTTTACTTCCAATTATGTGATCAATTTTAGAATAAGTGCTATGTAGTGCTGAGAAGAATGTATATTCTGTTGATTTGGGGTGGAGAGTTCTGTAGATGCCTATTAAGTCCACTTGGTCCAGAGCTGAGTTCAAGTCCTGAATATCCTTGTTAATTTTATGTCTCCTTGATCTGTCTAATATTGACAGTGGGATGTTGAAGTATCCCACTATTATTTTGTGGGAGTCTAAGTCTCTTTGTAGTTCTCTAAGAATTTGCTTTATGAATCTGGGTGCTCCTGTATTGGGTGCATATATATTTAGGATAGTTAGCTCTTCTTGTTGCATTGATCTCTTTACCATTATGTAATGCCCTTCCTTGTCATTTTTGACTTTTATTGGTTTAAAGTCTGTTTTATCAGAGACTACTGCAAGCCCTGCTTTTTTTGCTTTCTATTTGCTTGGTTAATTTTCCTCCATCCCTTTATTTTAAGCCTATGTGTGTCTTTGCATGTGAAATGGGTCTCCTGAATACAGCATACCAATGGGTCTTGACTCTTTATCCAATTTGCCAGTTTGTATCTTTTAATTGGGGCATTTAGTGCATTTACATTTAAGGTTAATACTGTTATATGTGAATTTGATCCTGTCATTATGATGGTAGCTGGTTATTTTGCCCATTAGTTGATGCAGTTTCTTCATAGTGTCGATGGTCTTTACATTTTGGTATGTTTTTGCAGTGGCTGTTACTAGTTTTCCCTTTCCATATTTAGTGCTTCCTTGAGGAGCTCTTTTAGGGCAGGCCTGGTGGTGACAAAGTCTTTCAGCATTTGCTTGTCTGTAAAGGATTTTATTTCTCCTTTGCTTACAAAGCTTAGTTTGGCAGGATATGAAATTCTGGGTTGAGTTTTTTTTTTTTTTTAAGAATGTTGACTATTGGCCCCCACTCTCTTCTGGCTTGTAGGGTTTCTGCAGAGAGATCCGCTGTTAGTCTGATGGGCTTTCCTTTGTAGGTAACCTGACCTTTCTCTCTGGCTGCCCTTAACATTTTTTCCTTCATTTCAACCTTGGTGAATCTGAAGATTATGTATCTTGGGGTTGCCCTTCTCGAGGAGAATCTTTGTGGTGTTCTCTGTATTTCCTGAATTTGAATGTTGGCCTGCCTTGCTAGGTTGGGGAAGTTCTTCTGGATAATATCCTGAAGTGTGTTTTCCAACTTGGTTCCATTCTTCCTGTCACTTTCAGGTACACCAATCAAACGTATGTTTGGTCTTTCCACATAGTCCCATATTTCTTGGAGGTTTTGTTCGTTTCTTTTCATTCTTTTTTCTCTAATCTTGTCTTCATTCTTTATTTCATTAAGTTGATCTTCAATCTCTGATACCCCTTCTTCTGCTTGATTGCTTCAGCTATTGATACTTGTATATGCTTCACAAAGTTCTCGTGCTGTGTTTTTCAGCTCCATCAGGTCATTTATGTTCTTCTCTAAACTGGTTATTCTAGTTAGCAGTTCCTATAACTTTTTATCAAAGTTCTTAGCTTCCTTGCATTGGGTTAGAACACACTACTTTAGCTCAGAGGATTTTGTTATTATCCACCTTCTGAAGCCTACTGTCAATTTGTCAAACTCATTCTCCATCCGGTTTTGTTCCCTTGCTGGTGAGGAGTTGTGATCCTTTGGAGGAGAAGAGGAATTCCGGTTTTTGGAATTTTCAGCCTTTTCGCGCTGGTTTTTCCTCCTCTTCATGGATTTCTCTACCTTTGGTATTTGATGTTGGTGACCTTCGGATGGGGTTTTTGCGTTGTTGTCCTTTTTGTTTATGTCGATGCTATTCCTTTCTGTTTGTTAGTTTTTCTTCTAACAGTCAGTCACCTCTTCTGCAGGTCTCCTGGAGTTTGCTGGAGGTCCACTCCAGGCCCTGTTTGCCTGGGTATCACCAGTGGAGGCTGCAGAACAGCAAAGATTGCTGCCTGCTCCTTCTTCTGGAAGCTTGGTCCCAGAGGGGCACCCACCAGATGCCAGTCAGAGCTCTCCTGTATGAGGTGTCTATCGACCTCTGCTGGGAGGTGTCTCCCCATCAGGAGGTACGGAGGTGAGGGACCCACTTGAGGAGGCAGTCTGTCCCTTAGCAGAGCTTGAGCACTGTGCTGGGAGATCCACTGCTCTCTTCAGAGCTGGCAGGCAGGAATGTTTAATTCTGCTGAAGCTGCGCCCACAGCCACCCCTTCCCAAAGGTGCTGTGTCTCAGGGAGATGGGAGTTTTATCTATATGCCCCTGACTGGGGCTGCTGCCTTTCTTTCAGAGATGCCCTGCCCAGAGAGAAGGAATCTAGAGAGGCAATCTGGCTACAGTGGCTTGGCCGTGCTGCCATGGGCTCCGCCCAGTCTGAACTTCCCTGTGGCTTTGTTTACACTGTGAGGGGAAAACCATGTACTCAAGCCTCAGTAATGGCGATCACCCCTCCCCCCACCAAGCTCGAGCATCCCATGTCGACTTCAGATGGTTGTGCTGGCAGCGAGAACTTTAAGCCAGTAGATCTTAGCTTATTGGGCTCCATGGAGATGGGCTCCGCTGAGCAAGACCACTTGGCTCCCTGGCCTCAGCCTCCTTTCCAGGTGAGTGAACAGTTCTGTCTCACTGGTGTTCCAGGAAGCACTGGGGTATGATAAAAAACTCCTCCAGCTAGCTTGGTGTCTGCCCAAATGGCCACCCAGTTTTGTGCTTGAAAGCCAGGGCCCTGGTGATATAGGCACCCAAGGGAATCTCCTGGTCTGTGGGTTGTGAAGACCGTGGGAAAAGCCTAGTATTGGGCTGGATAGCATTGTCCCTCATGGCACAGTCCCTCATGGCTTCCCTTGGCCAGGGGAGGGAGTTCCGTGACCCCTTGTGCTTCCTGAGTGAGGTGATGCCCCACCCTGCTTCTGCTCACCCTCCATGGGCTGCACCCACTGTCTAACCAGTCCCAGTGAGATGGACTGTGTACCTCAGTTGGAAATGCAGAAATCACCCACCTTCTGCATTGGTCTCGCTGGGAGCTGCAGATCGGAGCTGTTCCTATTTGGCCATTTTGGCCAGGAATCCTCCTTACAGATACTGTTTATTCTAACAACCATTCTGTCCATAACACACACACACACACACATGTGTCACAAGTGAAATTTTGGGCAAGTCATTAGATGTCTTTGAATATCACTCACACAGCAAATTTGTGGGTATCCCAGGATTAGAAACAATTTATCTCAATTCTTAGGTCAGAGCTATTTCTCCTTATGTCTGTGATTTCTATCTAATGTGTATATTAATATAAGAATTTCAGAAATTATGCAGTAATTTAAAAGTTCAAGAAACCTTTATTGCAAATACTTCCTTCTGCATTTCACAGGAGGGCCTAAAGAAAAACTTTTTCATAGAAACATGTACACAAGACAATATTACCAGAAATCAACCCCCAAAAGGAAGGCATCAGGGGGCACGAAGAAGAGACTTGACAAACTTTTTTTCTTCCCTTGGAAATTCTGGTATCCTAAGAAGCAGTCTGAATGATTTGTGCGTGAAACTGCCTTGGAGCAGGTGCAACTTCAGGGGGAATTCTCTTATTTTTATTGCATAAAAAATGAATCCTATGCAAATACAGACTCCTGTTCTGCTGAGTTTTGCATTCGCATAGCTGAATTAGGAGAGGGAGATACAGACAGTACAGTGTACTGATACCATTTGAAATATCCCCACTTGTTCTTCATGAATTCCCCCATGAGGTTGTCATCATTTAATTCAATTTAATTTTTAAAATTCAAACTCTTTTGAAACTTTTTATATGTGGAGTGCTCTGATCTCATTTTTGGCTTCTATGACACTTTTCCCTTAAAAACAAAGCTGTGATCTGTGGCAAGGAAGTTTGAGTGGTGCATCTTCCAGTCTCATCTCTGCCATTTGTTCCAGTGTCTAGGAGGAAAGAATCTTTGCACTATGCACATTCAGTGCACTAGGGATAAAGTGGCCAATGTGTCTTCATTCCCCAAGCTAGAATGGTCCTTCATTTATCGGCCAGCCTTTGCTGAACACACAGGTCCTGCCATTCACTGTACAAGGGAAAGATAGAGATTAAGATCCAGGCAGGTCCCTGCTCACAGTGCTGACTGAGTACTGTACCTATTTGCCCATGTGATGTGTCTTTCTATTTTCCAATGAGAGTGGAGGTCCATGTTTCAAGACTACTTTGCCTCCCACTGACTGAGGATTGGGATTAGATCTTTGATTGGGCTAGAGAGAGAGGTGAGACACTTTGAAGGGGTACAGAAATAATCTGTGGAGGGAGAGGAATCAAGAGGGACTGGACAAAGTTGTGTCTTTATCTTCTGGTCCCCAGACTCACCACTCCCCTAAGAGCAACAGCACTAGCTCACAGCTTTAGCATGACATCCTCTGTAGCTTTACTCACAGTGGGACCTGTTCTGTCACAGTAGGAAGAAATTCTGTCGAGGACTAATGTCATTGCTCCCCGGGTGGCCCAAGGCATCCCCAGCTGATCATGTGACCAGCCAGACTCCCATTCTTCCAGGTCAGAGAGAAAATGATCTACTTTTTTATCTTGGTGTGGTAGATGGGACTAAGGAATGAAAGAGTTGGGGTTTGTCATATTATTTCTTTACTTTGTACTCAGTAGATTATATTGACAGGCATTGAGTAAATCCAGTGGAAAAATGAACTCTCCATACTCTAGTAGACGTTGAATAATTTGAGCAGAATAACAGAGAGAAAAAGGAAAATGACTAAATAACATTTTAGGAAATAAGCTACATTTCCTAGACGTGGGATTTGGCAATTTGGGATGGATGGAGAAATGAACTTTCTGTATCTCTCTGAAACAGGTGAAATTGACATTCTGGAACAAAAATCTAACTATGAAAAAGAAAACTCTTTATTTCAAATCTATACTTGGGCAACAGTTTGGGGCCAGGAGGAATAAAAGACCTTAACAGGTCCTCTGTAGCCCTCTCTGACTTCTAGGCATCTGAGTAATCACAGACACCCACACATTGTTTTAAAACCCTCCAGAGAGAGAAAGGGAGAAAAAATGTCTTTGATAAGATCAGGTGCGTTCAGGGCTGTATGGCTGTAGACAGAAAAATGTCTTTGTTTCCACTGGTTACACATTCTGATGTCTGACCTACATCCCTTCTGATGAAATTCAAACCAAACCCTTTTCTTTCCCAGTGCCCATTGGAAACAGAAAATAGATACGCGTTTGTCACACTTTAAATAAATCTTCATGTAAAAAAATTGCTTTTTAACACATTTCATGCAATCACGTCTTCCTCGGAAATTTTCAGTGCCTTTTTTTCTATTTGTCTAAGTAGAGAAGCTATCTTTCTATTTTTTTTAATGGCTTCTTCTGAACTCCTACCGAGACCTGTTCATCTCACATCTTCAGGCCCCAAATTGGATACACAATTTTTAATTAAGATGTGATCCAGCGAGGTATTTGCTTAGATCTTACAGATCTGGAAAAAATGCCCTTAAGAAAAGACTAGGCAAATAGAAATAATATAATCTCCTTGCCTCAGTCCAAACTTGAAGGACTCATTAGAGGATGCATGCAAGTAGGGACCAGAGGACCATGAAAATCCTGCCGGGATTGAGCGTGATTTCTGCTGAGATCACTGAGATGCCACAACATTGAGTGCTGAAAGTTTTAGCAGGAATCGTTGGTGAACTTTTCCTTTGGAATTCCACAAGTGCTTCTTGTTACAGGCATAGACAAATGTATACTAAAAATTACATGTAAAATTTAAATTTCAGCAAGAAATACTGTTGACTTCTTATGAGGAAAACCAGGCAAGTGATTTGTAAACTCTTGAAGCAAGAAATGTTGATGTCTTCTCCATCTCTTTATCCTGTAGAGCACGTTGCACCGAGATGGCCCCAGAAGTAGATACTGAGAAAGTTCTAGTTGAATCATTTAATTTGAATGAAGCTGTGAGATAAAAGGAAAAAAAAGAGGCTACTTATAAAATAAATTTATAGTACGGTCACATTATCCAGAGTAAGGTTAGTTTGGTTTGGTTTGAATTGTTTCATTTTTAGCCAGGCATAGACTGTTTAGAAAGTAAGCATTTAAAAATTTGTCGAGATGTTATTTATTATTTGGTAAAAGTTGCAATGCACCAAGATGTAAGATTTTACACCCCTGAGTTTTATGGCATCACCCTTGCTAATTTATTCATGATTAAACCGAAGAACTCTCAATGAGGAGAAGTAGATTGCAGTATAAATTGGTGTCATTGTTTGTAAATGTGCTCCACTAAGCATATATACTGCTCCACTAAGACAGCTTCTAGTACCATGCCTGGGGCTTCAGTGCAATTTACTTACGTTGAATCACTGGCTCCCAGACTCCCCTTGTGAACTAACAGGCTTAGAAAATCATTCTAAAGAATGCATGGTTTGTGTAGTCATAGAACAAAACTTCTCTTGGAAGCTTATTCCCCCTCACCAGGGAAGGAGTTAGTGGGAGATTCTCAATCTGGTCTGCAGATGAGTGCCTTCTAGGTAATTCACACATATAATTTACAGAAGTGGGAAGGAATGAATTCAAACCATTTTTTTTTTTTTTTTGCCCTCAGAAAACTAAATGTCAGTCTCATTCCATTTCCGTTGGACGGGGAAATTGACGTAGGAGCAGCGTGAGGTAGAGTGGCATGCTGACCATAACTAGGGTCAGCCACCGTCGGAGGACTCAGCAGAGAGCTGTGGGGTGCTGCAGCTGGGGAGGATTTTCCCCATCTGTTTCCCCTTGGTACCATTGATTTGTTGTCTGATTTAAATATAGAGTTCAGTATGCAGGTGTGTAAGTGCAGCATAAATAAAATGGCATCCTCCTTCACAGCCAAGGGGCCTTCGTCTGGGAAACTGATATAATTTATGAGAGTGATGCAGCAGCATAAATACATGGGGTGCTTTGTCGCCGGCCAGTATGGAATTGGTCAGCTTGGAGGAGGGGAAACAGAGTCAGGGGGAAGACAGCATGCCAGGAGGAGCTAAATTGGGGCACCAGGACCTGAACCCTGGAAGCCAGTCCCTAAACATCCCCAGCTGCTCAGCAACTGCTCTCTAATTACCCTTTGTCCCTGGAGAATTCCAGAGGGGATGGGATTGCCTCAGTGAACTTAATCTTAGATGGGTGGCTGTCCTCCTCCTTTTTTTCCCTTGATGGAGGAGGGAGGGAGGGCGTCAAGGGTGATGCATCAAACTGAGGGTGACAAGAAGCTGGCGCCTTTTGCTCCACTTCCCAGCCAGGAGGGCTGACAGTGCTGGAGTGGACCAGTCCGCGGAGCTCCGGGGGTCTGAATGCTCCAGGGGTGTGTGGATGGCAATGGCCAGGATGGCCCTCCTGGTTGCGACCCATCAGAAAGTGGATACCACTGTGTCCTCTGGTTAGCCTTCTGTGCTGGTAAGGTGTGGTGACGTGTGTGTGCCTGTGTGTGTGCAAAGGGCAAAGAGATGGACAGTGTTACCGTTATTCATTTGGAATTAGAATTATGGAGGCTTGCACATTTGTTTGTCTTCCAAGTTCTGGCCTCATCCACCCTTTTTTGAGGGAGAGGGGCCAGGAAGGAGGCCGTTCCCAGCCCCATGAGTCAAGGAGGGCATCGGGGGATGTTCCCACTGAGGAAGCTCAGAGCGGGGCCCGGAGAAAGGGGTGCTCCAAGCGGTGCTTCCTGGTCGATGGCACGTCGGGGTGGGCAGGCTGGAGTTGAAGAGCTTCTCAGCGTGGATAGGAAATCATGAAAATGAGGAATGATCTAGCCTCCAGCAGTGAGTCGGAGGAATAAATGAATCCCGGAAATGCAGTTTCTGTGAACTCCAGATTGCTATGGAGATTGCATTGCTTTCCCAAGACTTAAAAAACGAGGAGTCAGCGAAAGCTGGGAGAGCGATGATGTATGGAAGTGAGGCGGGCCAGCGCGCCGGGAGTGGTGGGAAGGGGGCTTCGCAGGTCATTACACGGGGATTTCTCCGCGCAGAAAAAGGGATTAGCGTTTTCACCTGGTGGGGATTTCATGAGCTTTTCCCTGGCCTGCTCTTCCCCTGCCCTTTCCCAGAGAGCCCAGCTTCAGGGACAGCGCCCGCGAGGTGCTGCTGGGGTGGCGGGGCTTGTGGGCGGAGGAGGGCGGCTCTCTGGTGTGCAGCACCGGGTGTGAGTGTGGGTGAGCGTGTGCAGGAGAGGGTGTGACTGTGAGTGGGTGGGTGGGTGTGAAAATGGGAGAAAGTGTGAGCGTGTCACAGTGTGTGTCACTGTGAGTGGGCGAGTGAGAAAGTGGGTGAATGCGTGACTGTGCAAGTGTGTGAGTGTGGGGAGTAAGATTTGTGTGAGTGAGTGTGCAAGTGTGTGAGTGTGGGGGAGTGAGTATGGGGAGGAGTGAGAGTTGTGTGATTGTGTGTACACACACGTGTGCACACAGGGCGGGCCGCGCTTGGCATTTGAGGAGGGGCTCGGAGGTCCTCCTGGGCTGGCCGCTGTCCTGGGAGCAGGGCACCAGGGCACCCTGCGAGTTTTCACCTTGCCAAGGTATGCCAGAAGCTGGACTCCAGCTTCCTTGCCAACGTGTGCGGGAAGCAGGACCCCAGCTGCGGTCCAGGGAGGAAAAGGGGGGTGCTCACAGCTGGAGCGAGTCCCTGGAGCCCACAGGCAGTGACTTGCCCCAGAATGAGCTTGAGAGAGTCTGGGGATGGAGAACACTGGGGATGCTTGGTGTGGTGCAGAGGTAGGAGGATGTGGGTACCTGTGAGGTACTGGTGCGAGGTTTGCCACGTGTTATCCCTGGATGAGAGAGCGTGGACCACTGTTTTAGGCCAGGATAGGGACAGCATGTCCAATTACACAGGGCTCTGCCCACCTGCAAGATGCAAGGGGGCCCTCTCTCCAATGTCCCCTGACCTGACAGTCCTGCCACCTGCCAGCCTCGCAGTGGCCAGCCCCGCCCCCAGCAAGCCCCACCCCTAAGAGCCACACCCCCAACAGCCCACCCCCCTGCCAGCCTTGCCCTCAGTCCTGCCCCCTGCCGGCCTTGCCTCTGCCAGCCAGAGCCAGTCCCCCAGCAAGCCCCGCCCCCTGCTGGCTCTGGCCCTTCTAAGCCCCACCCTCAGGCAGTCCCGCCCCCTGCCAGCCCCACCACTGATCATCCCCGCCCTCAGACAGTTTTGCCCCTTGCCAGCCCCACCTCCTCCAGCCAGAGTGAATCTCTTAGTAAGCCCCACCCTCTTCCAGCCCCACCCTCAGGCAGCCCCACCTGCTCCAGCCAGAGTGAATCTCTTAGTAAGCCCCACCCTCTTCCAGCCCCACCCTCAGGCAGCCCCACCTCCTCCAGCCAGAGTGAATCTCTTAGTAAGCCCCACCCTCTTCCAGCCCCACCCTCAGGCAGCCCCACCTGCTTCCAGCCTTGCTGAGCAGTCCCGCCCCTGCCACCCACATGGGTTCCTGGGTCTTGCCCCTGACTACCAGGGTGACCCCAATGCCTCCGAGACATCCTTCTGCCCTAGAACAGCCAGGAGAGCAGAGAGAACAATTTAAATGCTCAAAAAGACAACTCTTTCTTACTGTTTTTGCTTTGCCCAGGGAATTGCAATCAGTTTCAATACACAGTTAATAAAATGAGAGGCATTCAGCGTGGATGTGGGTGTCAAGGGAGAGGGCTCAGGCTTGCTTTTGCCTTTTAGTACCAGTTCCTATTGTTTGGAAAACACGAGGTAGCTTCCGAGAACAGGTCTTGGCCCTCGCCTGCCCTGGAGCCCCCTGTCCAAGGGCCGCCGTGCCTCACAGGCAGGTGCATTGCTCTTGTTTTAATGGTGGCCTTCATGGCAGTGGGACCCCTCCCTCCATGACTGTCCCCAGGTATTGCCTATGGTGTTATAGTGTGGGGGCCTCAGGGAAGGGTAGGTGACCTGTCCACATTTAACATAATTGTAAAGCTCATTGAAGAAAAGAGGACGAAGGAGTGACGTCCAAGTTTATTGAGCTTTGGGAAGAGAACGACCAGATTTCGTTTTGAGATTTTCTCTTATTTGCTGGAAGTCTGTTCAAATCTTATGTCTCTTCTGGGTTATTAAACGGTCAAGGTTGTTTCTGGATCCCCACAAAAATGTGAGGATACAAAGTCCCCTTGGGATGTGCAGTGGTACCCATAGTCCTCGTGGTTGGAGGATAAAGGGGTCCCTAGAATGATTTAGTAATAAGGGCAAGGTGTTTGGAAGCAAATGCCGAGAAGAAATGCTCCCTTATGCCGTAAAGGCCACGAGACTGTGGTCGTCAGGCTGAGTAGATGGATGGGAAAGGAGGAAGTAAAGAGCACACACCGGCTTTTGGAAGCAGATAGCTCACAGCATTTGAAGAGGGCATTGCCATGACTCTGGCCTGCCTCTCTCATTGGGGAATCAAATATTTAAAAAAAAATACTTATATATCTTTTAGAGTGATCTTCTTTGGTAATTTTTAGTATATAAAAAAGAAAAATAGGGAAGAAACCTTCAAGTTTCTACTTACATTTCCTGAATTAGTTTACATCCATAGAAGAAAATAAATATTCATGCAAAGCTATACAAATTCCTTTGTAGGTTTTTAGTAACTATTCTAACAGAAATGTATTTGTAGCTAAAAAATGAAGTGTTAAGCATGTTTTAAAAACGGAGCATTGATTTTCTACAGCAGGGATATTTAGAGTCTTCTTTCCCCTGGTTACACTCATGTGCATTTGCTTAAATCCAGTGGCCTCTGGTCGCACCCGACTTTGCATCATGACTTTGTCCAATCCTGCAGGTGTTAATTTAGGGCCTAAGGGACCAGTTTGGAGCACGCAGCCATCCTGAGTAATTCACCGTCCATTAGACAGCGGTCTGTGGGGGATGTGCTGAGTCCACACACTGATGTTCCAGGAGGTTCTTGCAACTTCCCCACCTTGCAGCTGCCTCTCCAGCACCTTACTCTCAGTCCTTCCCCACAACTACTCTCCATCTTTAACTTATTACACTCCCTGTCTTAGTCCCTTTGTGTTGCTATAATAAAATACCTGAGTCTGGATAATTTATAAAGCACAGAAATTTGTTTTCTCTCAGTCCTGGGGTCTGGAAAGTCTGAGGTCGAAGTGCTGGCATCTGGCAAGGGCCATCTTGCTGTGTCCTCCATGGCAGAAGGTGGAAGAGAACGAACCTTCTCCTGCAACCCCATTTTTTAAAATACATTAATTGCATTTATAAGGGTGGAGCCTCATGATTTGAACACCTCCCAAAAGGCCCCACCCCCCAAACACTGTTGCATTGGGGATTAAGTTTCCAGCACATAAATTTTGGGGGGCACATTCAGACCATAGTACCTCCCAAATCTATAAGGCCACCTCTACTTTGCTCTCAGCTCTATCTTTTCATTTGCAATTGTCTTTTAAATCCCACTTAAATGTCCTATCACATTTTATCAACAATAACTTACTTCACTGGGCTTCCTTACACACACTAGTTCCTATTCCTGACTTCTGATTTTTATTAATATCCCTGTTCTTCTAGTTATCCATCTTTGACACTTATAATATCTCTTTCATTTACTACATATAGTAAAGTGACCACATTTTGACAATTCTTTCTCCAGTGTAAGTGTGGTGTCCTATAACTAATGCCCTTTTCTTCCTATAGCCATCACTTGCATCCTCCATGATTGGAACAGTCCCCTGGTGTGCCCCACACCTGCTGTTCTCCTCTCCAGCATCTAATCCGTCCTACCCACTGCTATCAGATCACTATGGAGAGCCCAGGCCTAATCATGTCAATTCCAGGCTATCAGATGTTCATTGTCAGTTTAATCACAGAATTGGCTGAAGTCCTTTATGCTCTAATTATTCCATCATCCTCACCCTCTTCTCCTACATACAATTGACACTACGACCAAATGGGGTACTTGCTCTTCCTCCAAAAAAGCTCTAAACGTTTTTGTCTCCTTGCTTCTGTAAGGCAGTTCCTCACCCTATAAGGGGCCCATTCTGTCCCTGAAATTCTCATCCCTCATATTTATCTCTTGAAATACTGTCCATTATTTAAAATACAGGTCCCATACCTTCTTTTTCACAAGATTTTCCAATTTTCTTAACTTGAAGTCATAGCTCTCTCCCCCTACCTCCTCCTTCCCCGGTATACTTGGTAATTCTATATTCACATTATTCACACACATGCATCCAAACATTTTTCTTATCCTTCTACTAAATATGAAATATCATAAGTAGAAGCCACACTCCTGCTTCACGGCAGCAGTCTTCTACATAACCACAGAGTTTAGACTTCACTAAAATGTAAGCTTTGTTTTTGTCAAGGTTGTATCTGAATCAGTGTCTATTTCAGGGCCTGTAACCTAGCAGGGGTTTCAAGAGTGCTGATGCAATGAACAGATGAATGAACTCTTGTGAAGCAATAGATCTAGCACCAAGATTGATCCCATCTTCTTACAAACACATCTTTAGGCTGTCCCCCTGTGTCTTCTTCAAAGTTGACACTGATATTCATTTAAATTTTATTTCACCTGAATAAAAAAATACAGTGTGAGAATGATCTGCTGAGAGCCCAGCTCTCCTTAAAAAGCTCTGCCTCAAAGATACTTTAAATTATATTCTTGATGAAATTTGTATTCTTCGTGATGTATCAACCTCGGCAGCAAATGACAACAAACCACAGCTGGTTACTGTTTGAACCCAAGGTTGTAAACTCAAAGAGTGTGTGTGCATTTGTCCCCACCCCACCCCATACAACCTGCTTCATCCTCATGCATGTGTAGATAACAGGTCAACCAAGGCTAGAAATCATAATGGGTGTGAGTTCTGGTTCCAGAGTTATATCACCTCAATGATCTTATTCATTTCATTCCTCTACCCTTGCTTGAGTAAAGCTAATCATTTTCTCATCTTCCCCAGATCTCTTTGGGGTTCTAAACCAAGCTGAAAAGTAGACCACAGTTAATACTCCCTCTTTCCCAGCCACCCAGTACATCTCCTGTCTTTAGCCAGGGAAGCACCTGTATGCCCCAATTCTGGCCAATCTTGGCTAAGGTGCCAACTCTAACGATTCTAGAAGCTGTTGGTTAAGTGTGTTGCCTGATCAGGGATACTTCCTTACAATGAGGGAGTTATGAAGAAGCTATTGGGTCAATAAGCTAATATTATAGAATTACACTATCCAGTACTAGATCTGGAAGCAACCTTATAGGTACATATTCTAACTCCTTTTATAAGTGAATTAAGTGACCTCTCTGGTTGAGTGATATAAGATCTAGTCCAGGCTGTGCCACTAACTCCCAATTCATGTGTATTTCACCATACCATCTGCCTTTCCTCTAGAGTCTCCAAAGAACAAAGCTACAATGAGGGAATAAAAAAGTAGAATTCACAATTTTAAGAAGGCAGTTCTCTCAAACCATACCATGTAACAGCAACTTTTCTCTGCCTAGCCATGGTGCCAACCCCATCAATTTTCAATAAAACTTCACCTGTAATATTCAAGGAGTAGTGGAGTACGTGATAATGCACTAGATTTAAAGTTACCCAAGGGCTAATTTTTAAAAAATCATTTTTCATATCCAATATTAAATTGGTTGTTAGTTCTTTTCTATATGTCTGTGATAACCTTTGTGCCCTGGTTAGCAGGGTCTAGAAAGAGCCATCCATCTCAACAACAGTGGATTTAGACTTGCAGGAAACATACAGCTTGAGTGATTTGGCTGTATCTTTAATGATTCCTGAACATCTGCCAGAAGTTGCTCATTTCAAGCAAGTCAGTGATTTAAGCTTATTTTTCTGTTTTGTTTCTTTCTATTAAAAGCTTCTCCTAAAATTTTAATTTCATGAGAAATTCTGATTAGTTGGGAAGTAATTTTTTTTAGTTATAATACAAGTCAAAATTAATATTGACTTAAGGTATAAATTAAGTTTCACTCTTGTAGTGCCTATGAAAGACTAAAATTATGCTGTTCATAAAATGTCCCTACAGATAAGTTTCACTTAACTGGTTTTAGAAGATGCTTTTGGGCCTTTTTATTTGCCCTAAGCAGACATTTGGACTCCCTTAGGTGAAATGTGCTCCAGCATTAGACTGCTTTATTTACTTTGAGTTTGTCTTCTCAATATGTGATTTTTAGAAACTTCAAAAGTGCAATGTCTTTTACATTTATAAGTAAATAATTGAGGGACCAGCCTGCCTGGAGCAAAGGAATCAGAAAACAACAAATCTCAGAGTGACCGGTGACATGGAGTCTGTGCTTCAGTGCAGTTGCTAGAAGTAAACCACAGATTGAGCTCTGAGCTTCCTAATAGCCATGGCAAGGAGGGAAAGCCATTGAGGTGCTATTCACAGTAGCCACTGATAAAAACAAAGCAGCCATTCACTAGCCATTTCCTGCTAGTGAAACATAAGGACAGTTTATCCCGTGAGTTCCTTTAAGAAGGAATGAAGAGGCCGGGGGCGGTGGCTTATGCCTGTAATCCCAGCACTTTGGGAGGCCGAGGCGGGTGGATCACAAGGTCAGGAGATTGAGACCATCCTGTCTAACACGGTGAAACCCCGTCTCTACTAAAAATATAAAAAATTAGCCAGGGGTGGTGGTGGATGCCTGTAGTCTCAGCTACTCGAGAGGCTTAGGCAGGAGAATGGTGTGAATCCAGGAGGCAGAGCTTGCAGTGAGCGGAGATAGCGCCACTGCAGTCTGGCCCGGGTGAAAGAGTGGGACTCCATCTCAAAAAAAAAAAAAAAGAAAAAAAGAATGAAGAAGGCAGATGCAATGTGACAGAGATTTACTTGATGATGTGCTCAATAACACCCTTCAACTAGAAAAAAAATTAGCTTCTCTTAGAATGTGCTATCGGTATATATTGGCATACAGTAATTAAGTGTAATTGAGAAAAGGTAATTCTGAGAGGGAATAAAAGCACCAGATGGGAGATATGGCATTCACTCTTACCTAAGTCCTACCTACCTTCAAGACCTGGATGAAACATCACTTCCTCCAAGGAGTCATTGACAGACTTAGGCCACAGTGATCATTGCTGCTTCCAAACCTCTATGGCATTTGTTGACCGTGCTATTTATGTTATACTATAAGGAACCATTGACAAAAACGTGGAGGTTTTGGTATCTGGGCAACATTCTGCAGGGGCTAGGATTGTGTCATTTACTGTAGTAAATCCAATGTCTCATTCATTTCCTGTCACCCAGTAGGCCCTCAGGTTTGTTGCCATGGATGAGTTAACAGATGGCACTGACTCTTGGTGGCACTGGAGACTGCAGCCATCAGATGATGTTTCAAGAGACACTCCACTGTGATGACACATCCTGAAGACAGGGAAACTAATGCCCTTTGAGAAGTACAAATGTCTATTTTTATTTCACGTAGTATTGGCTTGAAAAGATACAAATTTACTTAGGATGAAATAAAAGTGTTCTGTATTTGAACTTTTTTAAAAATTATTATTTCTTGGAGGTTTTTATTAGGCAACCAGTTCCTCCTGTCTTAGAAAGATGTAGGGATGGAGAAGTTCTAAAAATTCTGGGCCTATCCTTCAAGGTTCAATCTCATAGTTTCTTCCTCAGGAAAACCTCCTCTGGCCATCCTAGCAGATAGACATGGCACTTCCATGTCTGTCCAATTCCCCCAAAACATGACCTAAGGCTCATCTGGAATAAGCAATCTTCTTCTGTGTAAATATTTTATAACTATAGCCTATTATAAACTATTTGTTTAGAAAAAAGACTGGAAAAGTACACACCAGAATGTAGGGTGTGTATTTTCCCTTCAAACTCATTTACCTTTGCAGCCCTCTTGAATAATGTCCTTCCAAGCCTTTTGAATAACTTTTATGTTGTCGAATGTTTAAATCGTCTCCAATAGTGGTAATTTTTACAGTCTACAAACGACAAAAGGTAATTCAATGTCAAGAACAGTTAATAAAATAGATATTCAGAGTGGTTGATATGGTGAGATGAGGTTGGGTTTCAAAGAAATGGTTGTTCTAAAAGGAAACCAATCATGTGTATGTATGTTATATGAATGTTGAGCTCTGTTTGGAGTTACCCGCATCATGAAGGTGCCCTCAACCATAGCAATATCACTAAAATAAATGACAAGGCAATTTTTTTGGAAGGTAATATTGTCTCTGAATTTAAAAAATGGAAAATCTTTATGCCTCTCTCTCTCTCTCTCCATTCAATGACACTAATGACTACTTCAGGATGTCTGAATATTGTACTTGCTTATATATGTTCATTGCAACCACCATGGCAATGAAACATGACAGGTCCTATAGTGGAAATCATGGCGTGGTCCTCCAAGGTTAAATTGGAGGGAAACCCCACCATGAAATGCAGTGGCTAGATGCTAGATCTTCACTCCACTCCCCACTCACCAGCGCTGCTTCTGGCTTTGGGATTGAGCTTCCTTCTGGGTGAAGCTCAGAAGAGCTCAAACTTTTCTGAGCCAAGGTCAAGCTGGGAACCTTGTTTTACTCTATTTTATTTTTAAATATTCACTTCCCATTATGTCTGAGTCTTCAGCCACATCTTGTTTATCTGGTGAACGAGTAAATAACACACAGTTTCTATGTCAGTTTCATTCATCCCATGTTTTATTGAGCACCTGCTGTAAGCCAGGCATTCACCTGGTGATCACTTAAGGCCCATCTCCTTGCTTCCAGCTTGCTTCCCTATAATAGAGGATTTTTTATTCTCTTTGAGTATGAGGGTGCACAGCACACACACACACACACACATACACACACACCTGTTTTGTATTCAAACTGAGAATGTTCATTTATACACAGCTCTCCTCTTAAGCACACAAAAATTAAGGCATCCAACAATCAGATAAGGCAAATGCATTTATCAAACATCCAACAACAAAAAGCTCCTAGACGTCTACTACATGCAGCACTGCTGTTCGGGTGCTGGGGTTATAGCAGGCTACAAGGGAGGCAGGTCTGCGTTCATGCCACCTACATTTTAATAAGAGGAGAAAAGAATAGAGAAGCACTGGGCAGCTGCTGAGGAGTGCTAAGGAGAAAAATCAAGGGAGGAACAAGGAGTGATGAGGAGTGTTGATTTCAGAAGTGAGATCATGGAAGGTGGCCCTGTTGAAGGGACATGTGAAAGAGAACCTGAAGAAAGGTCCAGCACCATCAGGATGTCTCCGCGAAGGTGACAGTGTCTTGTCTAGGTCTGCCTTGCCACCGAGTCACCGACTGTGAGAATTGGAAGGAACATCAGCATCCTTCATTTAACAGTTAGGAAAATAAGACCAAAAAGAGGTTACAGTCCAAGTTCAGCTTCACAAAGACGTATCTCTAGGTAGAAGGGAAAAAAAGGAGAGCAAGAAAATGTTAAAAGTTGACTATGCTTAGAAACTGCCAAAAATATTTAACAAAATGTGCCAGAACTAGCTGAAAAATAAGTTCCTGAATATTCAATCAAATATTCTATATTTAATTTCATGGTATAAGAATGCAGTAATCGAATAAATCCTTGCTCTTCTCAGCAACCACTGACATTGTTTTATAAAGTTGATCCACATCCTATCTTTAGGTTGTAGAAAAGGATGCTAGGGGAGCTGTCATCCCAGACCCTTAAATGTAGTTAATCCCCTGGTACCAAGGCTCAGAATCTTCAGGACATCTGCCTCTACTACCTTATGCTAGACCTTAGTATCCAGGGAGAATGACAGCAACATCGTGGTCATGGTTCTGAGGAAAGCAATGGAATGCACATCAGAGGAAACCAACTAAACACTCACTTGTAATGAGATGGGAAGTGATTACACTATTTTTCTTCATGGTATTTATAGTTTTAAGGAACAGCTCCCTGTAAGTGACATCTACCCACTGCCCTTTATCCTCCTATTAAAGCTTTTGTAACAGATGGTGTTTATAGAATTGGCTACTCTTTGACTGTTAGCACTGTGAAGACATGAGTCTATGAAGAATGTACCCCAATTTTCATTACACCCCAGACTAAAGTGCTAAGTAGTGATCTTTTGAATAAATGGAATCCCATTGATAGAGAGTCAATTATGCCTTTGCATTAACACACATCATCTTTTGTTCATTAACTCAGAAACTAGAGTGAGCTGGCAGCCTGAGAGCCAAAGAGCTTCTGTGAGACTCTCAAGTGACTTAACGTGGCTGGCCGATGACTGATTCCTTCCAGGTGAAGCGCTAAGCTCCATCATGCCCCTGTCCAGCTGTGGCAGGGTTCCACGTGGGCAGCCCCGCTCTCCTCTGGGAGGAGCATTGGGCACCACGTGAGTTGAGTTTGTCCAGGACCTGAGCTGTATTGTTTTGTGATGTGGGACAATCTTCTCGAGCAGTATCAATGCTTCTGAGTCACAAGGGTCAGAAGAGAGTTATTTCCCTGGGGCTACAACTTTCTGAGTTTGCACAACTTCCAGATGCAGAATTAATTTCCTGAGGTCATCTGCAGCATGGTGCAGATAGGTCACTTACCCTGCAAGCAGTTTGGAAACCTGATATCTAGAATTGTTGACTATTCTGTGAAACTTGTTTCTCATATCTTATTTCTCCACAATGGCATGCCCCATCACATCTGCAAGGCTTTGTTTGACCTTATGGGCACTGAGTAACTTTTTCCTTTTCTGAATGCATTTGGCGTTTACTGTTGAAATCTATGGCTTCTTTAGTGAGTACTTGCCGAGTGCTCACTGTGTTCCTCTGAATGGAGGTAGAGTCCTATGAAGGATAACTCCTTAAGGCAGGGGCTATTTTTATAGTTTAGTATCTATCTTTGACTTCAGTTTGGCTGGAGAAATAAGATACATTAAAAAAAACTTGGCAGTGGGGGGTGGCTCACGCCTATAATCCCAGCATTTTGGGAGACCAAGGCAAGTGGATCGCCTGAGCTCAAGAGTTTGAGATTAGCCTGGGCAACATGGTGAGATGCTGTCTCTACTAGAAATACAAAAATTAGCTGGGCATGGTGGTATGTGCCTGTTGTCCCAGCTAATTGGGAGGGTGAGGTGGTAGGATTGCTTGAGCCCGGGGAGGGGGAGGTTACAGTGAGCCAAGATCGCACCACTGCACTCCAGCCTGGGTGACAAAGTGAGGCCCCCATCTCAAAGAAAGAAAGAAAGAAAGAAAAACTCAAGCTCCTCAAAGGTGGAAAATATATATATAAGATAGCTGGGAAAATAAGACTAAGTAAATTTGCTTTGCAATGTTTACAATACCATATGTGTTTAGTGTCTGGATGAAGAATGAATAGGTTCCGGGCATGATAATATTTTCTTTGAGCACAAATATGTTTTATGATTGTCAGAACCAGTGTGGAAAATTACTAAAGAAACTAAATATTCTTTCGCAGATGCAAAATATTTTGACATTTTCATTTCAAATCAAGATGCTGGAATAAAGATTCCCCCAAAACCTGTAAAACTCAGCGCAGAGCCCAGCAATAGATGGGGTTGTGTGTCCTTGCTAGCTCCTTGCAGATTGGAGGCCAGCTGCACTGAGGATGGCTTTAGCTCCCTGTCTGCTGAGAGCAGGATGAAATCAATGACTGACTGATGTCTCCTAAGTGCCTGATATATGGTTGCTGATGCAGAGAGGTTCTGGTGACAGCCCACACTGAGGGATGCTTATGGAGGGCTCAAGTAGGCGAGAGAATGCACCCTGCGTATGTATGTGGAAGCCAAGGATCCAGCTGGCAAGTTGGCACCAGCCAGGCTGAGTACAGAGGTTCCAGTCTCTATATCAGAAGAGCCGAGTTTCCTGACCTAGAGAAGTTATTTTGGCTTCCAAGTTTTCATCTTTAATAAGAAGGGTTTGGAATAAAAGAAGGAATACTGACAATAGCTGACGTTTCCTGGATACTTATGGGTGCCAGCTGCTCTTCTTCGCGTATTCATCTGTGCAATCCAAACAGCACTCTATGACTAGAGGCCACTGCGACCTCCCTTTTCTAGGCATAAACCTGAGTCCCTGGCCCAGGGTCACAGCTGGCAGGCTGGGCACTGATGGACTCCAGGCTTTAAGTCACATTGCTACACTGTACTCAGGGTATCTGCCGCCCGGGCCCAGACCCAGACCCAGAGATCCACCCTAAGGGCGAGGATAAGGAGACAGAGGACAGGCAGATGACAAGGTGGGGGCAGTTCTCATGAAGGGTTTCCTTCTTGGACACTGATTTCTTCCCAGGATGCCTGAGGATGCTGCCCAGCTCCTTCCATCCCTGTCCTCCTCACCTCTTTCCACATCCCCTGCAGATCAGCCCAGCAGTGAGGCACAGCCTAGGGTCGGATGTCCCATAGATCATCATGGAAGCTCAGAAGCAATCCGTTCTTCATTTTAGAGGCTCCTCTCCGTCAAGATTCTGGAAACACAGGAGAACACTGTGACCTTTCTCAGAGGATGTTTTCCTAACATGCCTGGGAGGAAGACTTGAATGGTGGTGTGAAAATGTCTTTTCATGCCCTAATCAATAGCCCATCAATTATGTATGTACTTATGTACGTAAACCCTGTTACCATCCTGTGGAGAGGATAGGACTTGGTGATGTCCAACTATTGAGCTCTTTCTTCAAAGTCTTAAAGGAAGTTCAGTACATAAAACCATGGCAGCGGGTTGGCTCTGGCAGAGTGGAGTCAGTCAGACATCTGGAGCGCTGTCCTCACTCTGCCTCCCCACCCTCGGGCATGCTTGTTGGAACTGACAGCTCCACTGCTGGCAGTTTATAAATCTTTCCAGTGTTTTCACTGAGGGTTGTCAAAATGTTAAGGCATATTAGGCCATCATGGAGCAAGGTAACCTCCAAGGCCTTTACCTCTTCTAAATAATGCTTTATTCTCTTTTCTTCTGGTCATGAAGATACAGTTGGAAATTCCTACAGATTGGCTTTGCTTGAAAGGCTATTGTAGACCATTAATGGGCGAAATCCCTGTATTTGAAATTGTAAGATGCAATGAGGGAAGGCAATCCACGTGATTTCCTTGTGTTCCCCTAGTGGAGTGAAAGCAGATACTGACGATTGTTTCCTCATTCCTGGTGGCATCTTGAGACGGTTTGGTAACATCCAAGCTGTGCAGATGTTACCACGGAGCATGGAGGCTTTTCTGAACTCCTACAGGTTTCATTGTCTGTGCCACTTTTTGGTACTTACCATTTACGTATTTGAACTGTGTATTGTTTCACAGGTGTGTGTTTTCCAAGTTGCCACTCTACCAACGCTTTTTGTATATTCCTGAGTTCAAAAAGCACTTTAAGTAAACAAACTGACAAAAGCATGCAGTTTAAGAGGAGGAAACAGGAAGATGGCTCACATGTAGCTTGAGTGAACCATCACATTTAGCACAGTGCAGGCTTTCAGTCTCTTCATGTCATGCGTATTTTTGTATCCTACGGACAATGAGCCTTGACTGCTTTTTTAGGCCTCTTACCAGCTTCCTCCTCTGAAGTGTAGTAAGTAGCTTCCTATATAATATAATTTGTAGATGACTAAAAGCAAGGCCTGATCCCACATATCTCTTTTATAGACCTGCTACATTGCCAGAAAGGTCTTCATTGCTCAACATTACACCCCTCAAGGATAAAATCTTTCTCAACGACAAGAATTCCTGCAGAATTTGGCTATGTCTCATTCATTATTGTACGGGGTCAGTCGCTGGCCCAATACCTAGGCTATAGTAGGTGTCTCTAAACTATTGGGAAACCTGTAGTCATTTGGTGGCTTATTTTTCAGTGAGTGCAGATAGGAGATGGAATATGGGTGGATCTAGATGGATAGAGTTGGATCACAAAGTGAAAACCATCACTTGGTGGGACCATGTTGGGGAGGATCCTGAGGATGCTGAGGTCAGTCCATGACGTCTATGACAGGCACATGAGGGAGGGGCCATGTCATATGTGTCTCAATTTGCCATCTCTGCTTAGAGCCTGAGTGACTGCTTGAGAAGGTAGGCCCAAGCCCAGAGGACAGAGCATATGAGGGTGGATTTGACTGAGAGAGTTGGTAACACACTTTCTAAGAGAGAAATACAGATGACAGGAACACCCTGCCTCTGCCTGTGGCCCAGCTCTGCTTGAGTCTGTCACTGTCTCCTTTCCTGGAAATGTCAGTGTCGCTTCCCTCATGCGTTTTGGAGCCTTGAGTTCAGGCTAAAACAGGGCCTTTTGAGGGGATGAGAAAAAAGGAAAGAGGGCAAAAGAATGAAGTGTGATTTCTTAAACAGGTTTTCAAGAAAGGAGAAAAGGGCCTTGCTTAATTTTGAGACTTCCAAAAGGTTAGGCTACATGTAAAGGGAAAGGTGAGGTTGATGCTGGTTTTACAAGAACTGCTTTGCTCAGTTCTACTTGGCTGTCATCAACATAGGTGACCCGCAGAACTCCTTACGAAGCAGTCTAGTGGCTGCAGGATAGCATCCAAAGTGACTGCTTAGAGCTTATGAATCTTCACTAATGTGTGTGTCCCCAATAACAGGATGGAAGGAAAAAAAATGAAACCTGTGTAGACACTGAGTATGTTAGTTTGGAACAGTGAGGAAAGCTTTAAGAGAGAAATCAGTATTATATCAGTTTAGCCAGGCTCACAATCAATAGTCATTTGATAAAAGCTGAGCGCATGTGACACTCTCCTAACACAGAGTCCTGTGATTCTTTGGGGATGTCTTTGCTAGTGTATCATATAGCTATTGCTATGCAAGCACCCCAAGACTTAGTGGGCTTAAGACAGCATCATGTTATGAAAATCATGCATTTTCATCTTTAATAAGAAGGGTTTGGAATAAAAGAAGGAATACTGACTATTCCTCCTGAATATTGGATGATCTGGGGTGTGCCTCACTGTGTGTCAGCTCACTGGCTTGCTTGCTTCTGCCTGGGCAGTGGCCTTGCCAGGGGCATCTTTTCTGAGCAGGGCTGCTCCATGCATCTCTCCTTCTCTGCCTCCTGGGACTTGGAGGCATGGTCCTTGCATGGCCATGACAAGCGCATGCAAGCTCTCCTGAGACCTAAGCTCAGAACAGGCCCTGGAACTTCCCCCTCATTTCTGTGGCTCCAAGCAAGCCCCATGGCCAAAGAATGGGGAAATAGGCTCTATCCCTTTTGCAGAAGTAACTGCAGTGTACACAGACTGTAAGTAAAGGGAACCATGAAGAATTGAGGCCGTTAGTGCAATTAACATGCTTAGATTACTCTTAAGCTCTTATTGTTGCTATTAGTGATCTCTCTGGACCCTGGAAATGTCCAGCAAGCCTTTAGGATGGTAGCTGTAGTAGAAGCATGAGTGGATTGTCATGACCTGCTTTTACCCTCACCGTCAATGTTTTTCTTTCCATACATTGTTGAGGTTAAGATTGCTGAATGGTAAAGAAGTATAATTTTTGAAATTGTTTTCTGTCATCAGTTAGTAAATCAATCAACATTTACTGCACAGCTACCGGAGGAGAAGCACCTGCTATTTCCTGGGTTCATGGAGACATAGGGGTGAGGAGGGTGACATTTACTGAGTAATCACTTCGTGTCAGGAACTGTGCCAAGAACCTCGTAAACTCCAAATTAATTGAGATAGACATTTTGGTGGGGAGATATCTATGCATTGTTTTATTGTTAGATCAGGCATAATATATCCAAAGTGTAAAGTCTTTGGAAACTCTCGATGAAGGAAAGGGATTCAGTTTCCAAGGTGTGGGCTAGAATGCAGAAAATAAAAATGTGTAAGTGAAGGTTTTCTGTGGCTTTGGTAATGGCTGTGTTTTTGATATATAGTAAACAATGATAAATCGTTGTTCTTTTAACTCTGAATTTTTTTTAAAAGAATGTCACTGTGCACGGTTTGAAGCTGCAAAGATTGCCTTCGAGAGGGAGGAGTCATTTCTCCACGTCCCTATAACATTATGTGGAATGTTGTCTGTCAGCTTTGGACTGTAGTTTATATGTCAGTGACTGTAGTTTATATGGAGAATTTTGTTTAACTTTTCATTTGTTCCCAATGTTACAATTTTGCTTTCTCATAGATATGCATATGGAACCAATGCACTAATAAGGTTCATTACTCCTAATATATGCTGTCTGTACATTTGTCGCCTATAATAGTTGTTAATGGTTTTACAGAGGGTCATGATAGTCCGTTATGTCAAAAGATGCCATTGCCTTCTGTCTTTTTCTGTGCATTCCTGGTTTTGAAAATGAGGGTACAATCAGACCTGAAAAAAAAAAAAAAGCATAGGACTTTGTTTCATGACCTACGAAAAGTAATGGTAAGCAAGATGCAAATTCTTATTCTCCAAGGGTATATACACTGTCAAACAATTGAAAGAAGCCAAGACTATCTGAAAAGGCCTATTTTTCAGATTTCATCTTGGAGACCTTTCATCACAGTTCCTACCCCAAGAAAATAACTAATTTGCTCTAGCCTTATGGAATAGCCTGGAATGGCTGCCTGGGCCATCTGAGAAGTTGGCCGGTCCTATCCAGGGCTTCCCCGGTTGGCCTGGCTTTGCTCAGGGGCCGGGGGCTGAACTTTAGCAGGTTCCACTAGTGCTGTTGGGAGCTCCACAGAGAAAGGTCGAACGCTTGGTGGTTTGTCCTTGTGGTCAGACCCCGGGATTTGACTTTTAAGAATACTCTGAAAATGAAAATGGATTTCCTGGGAAGGAAGTATGTGAAGTCATTAACATTAATTAATAGCTTATCGAAAAATTAGGCTTTCAGGCTGGAAGAAAGTAGGCAGGCCTGAAGAAGGGAGCTCAGGAAGGAGAGCTGGAGGGACCACAGCAGGGAGCTGGCCCAGAGGCAGGTGACATCGCCCAGGAGGCTGGACCTCGGGGATTGTGGTTCTGTCAAGAAAGGATGGTTGCTGGTGGGGGCTGGGGGGCTGTGGGGGCTGGGGGTGCTGGAGCAGGGAGGTGTGACCCACCCCAGGGAATGGGAGGAGAGAAGTGGGTAGGGTTTTCTTGGACTCTCACTTCACCTTCCGGTTGGACGAGCTGCAAGCATGAGCTTCTAAGCTTTGCATCCCAGAGTGTTGGCGGCTATGGAGATCCTGCGGGCCTCACTGCCGCCATTCCCCATGGCCACTCAGCCAGCACTTCCTAGGCGCTGAGCTCCGTGAGGGACTTTTTTCCTGCTCACCTTATCTCAATGGGGTCAGGCGGGCTGAAGCTTCTGGAGTCTTGGTGAGGCTGTTGCTGGATTGAATATGAGCAGCTGCAGGGCTGGAGGAACCCAAACCTCAGTGGAGCCTGTTCATTGAAGACCTTACTGATAGGTTAGTGCCAAGGGGTGCTGACAGGTACAGTTACGGGGAACTGGCACATACGAGGTAGCAGCATCTGCCCCGACCTTGGCCCTATAATAATCCGTGGCATTGTTGAGAACAGATAAACAGTAACCAACAGTGGGCTCACATCACAGATGTTTTCCCTTGGTGCTTGGTGGGCCCCAAGATGTTGGGGTTCAAGGTTTTTATTATGTCTAGGGAGGGCCAGAATCAGTCCTATCTGCTCGCATTGAGATGGCCTTTGTTCAAGCAAGAGGTGAAATTAAGTGTCCAGAGGCAGAAATAGATTTCACTCTGGGTTCTGTTATCCATGGTTCTTTGTAGATTCTTTCTGAATGTCCACAGGTGTGCTCAACTGCTAAATTCAGCTGCCTTTGAAATCACAAAAAGGGCTCAACAAATGGAGGTCTCTTCCACCAGCAAAGCAAAGGATTGTGTAATTCGATCACTAGGGTAGGCTCTGAGGCCACGTGGCCCGAGTTGAAAGCTGAGCTCTGCACGGACAGCTGGTGGGTCTCTGCCTAAGTTATTTTACCTATCTGTGCTCTGCTTCCTCTCCTCACCAGAAAACCGAGGCTATGGTTGTATTTGCATCATAAGGTTACCAAGAAAATGCAATAAGCTAATCTACAGGGAGCACTTAAAAGACTATCTGCACGCAGGAAGCCCTCGATAACTAATTGTTTGCTGTAATTATTAATGGTCACCCCACATATAGGTGAGGAAATCTTGAATTGCCCTGGTTGGTGCTGCTGGGTATTTGGCTCAGGTAAGAGTGATATAGCAGCTTGGACTTTTTTAGATGAGAAGCTACCTCCCCTTGAAAGGGGGCTGAGTTTTTGTCTCCTACAGCTGCTCCGCTGAGAAGATATTCAGCTCTTCCCAAACTACTGGTTGTTTAGAAGGTGGCTGTGTACAGAGCCTAGTCATGCTATGGGTCACAGAGACACAGGGCCACTGCCTGCACCCACCTGGACAGCACCCTTCTGTGTGACTTCCATGGGGAGGACTGTGAGTGGTGCCCCAGTGTTGGGATAGGGACCAGATGACTGCAGAGGAAACACCATTAACATTTGTCTATTCAGCAAGCACTTTACTCTCACATGAATGTCGATGTATCTTTGGGCTTCTTATAAAAGAATCCCACATTCACTCAACGTCTGTGAGTATAGACATTGTTATTTGTTCCTTTCACTTTTTAAAGTGAATTAATTTTTACAATAGTGGTTTTCAAAGTTTGTTGTTCTTGAAAAATCACCGATCAAGCATTAAAAATGCACACACTGGGGTCTCACCCCTGAGAAGCTGCTCTGCTTGGTCATTCAGGAAAACTCAGGTATCTACATTTTTTAAAAAATTCTCAGATGAGCTGCCAGGCAAAATCACCTCTAATTGCTTCTCTTGTTTTAGTTCTCCCAACAACCTGTAAGAGAAAATTGGACAGATATTCCTGTCCCCATTTTAGATGAGGCCGCAAGTACTTAGAGTGAAAATTTGTTTGAGGTCACATAATTAGTTAACATATTATTCCAGATAATCACAGATTTCTTTTTTAGCCAACGCTCCCTACATCTCAATAGCTTCACCAAAGAATGTGTCAGAGGGCCATCTTTTTGCATCTCTGGGTTCTGCAGGGCCTGCTGCAGGAATCGGTATCCACAGGGGGTTCTGGAGCCAATTCTCCACAGATAGTGAGGTAGTTCTCCTGTGGTCACACACCTCGGGATCCTTCACAGCCAGGTGTGTGGGCAGAGGAGAGAGTGTGGTCATGCTACAGATAGCCTGGCATTGACATTCATCACTTTAGCCCATATTCCGTTGGCCTGAACTGAGGCATAACATGCCGTGAGGCTCAGCGAGATGCAACGGAGTGTGGGCAGTGTCCTCCCGGATGTTCAGAAGAAAAGGACCCTGCTGAACACATGCAGTAGTTTCCACCACTATTAATGACCGTAAGGCAATGAATCTAAATAGTGAAAATCTTTGCATGAAACCTATGCTTTTACTGACATTGTATTGTTGCAACAATCCAGGGATGTAGTTATGTATCTCCCTATTGTTTAAGGATGATAAAACAGATTCAGAGAATTTAAGTGACTTGCAAAAGTCCACACCCCTGAGAAACAAGAGAGCCAGAGAACCCGTGGGCAGCTCTCAGCTCTGGCACCAGGGCTGTGTGGTTGGAACATACCCATTGACCTTGGAGGCAGAACAAAGCTGGTATCAAAACTCAGATTTCTTGACTGCCATTTCAGTGTACTTTTTCCACTACAAGATATTTCTTACTGTTTTGAGCATGCTGTATTACCACAGGGACTAGCAACATAGGTTTAATCAAGTCTTCAATGACTGAAGGAGAAAAACATGTAGTAAATATTGCTTAAATCTTTTCTCATTACCACATAGAAACACATTTCTATGTAGAAGTAGAAGACATTTCTACTTACCTATCCTGAGAACCTTCTCTCTGAAAAGCTCACAGCAGAGTCCATCTCTCCCGCTTGGCAGCTGCAATAAGTACAGTAATTAGGAATATTATTTCTTTTTTTTTTTTTTTTTTTTTTTTTTTTTTTTTTTGAGACGGAGTCTCGCTCTGTCGCCCAGGCTGGAGTGCAGTGGCGCGATCTCGGCTCACTGCAAGCTCCGCCTCCCGGGTTCACGCCATTCTCCTGCCTCAGCCTCCCGAGTAGCTGGGACTACAGGCGCCCGCCACCACGCCCGGCTAATTTTTTTTTTTTGTATTTTTAGTAGAGACGGTGTTTCACCGTGTTAGCCAGGATGGTCTCGATCTCCTGACCTCGTGATCCGCCCGCCTCGGCCTCCCAAAGTGCTGGGATTACAGGCGTGAGCCACCGCGCCCGGCCAGGAATATTATTTCTAACTCACAAGAGTTCTTCTGCATGTTAGCCACCCCCCAGAGAAAATAGTCTCCATTGTTGTTCTCTCTTCAGCATATCCCAGGTATGTTTCCAAGCAAGTTTTGCTCCACTATAAGTTGATGAGGACCTTTTTTTTTGGAAGCTGATGGCCTGGCAAGAGTTAGTCTTAATAGGTTGTGTTTCTTCTCACTTTAGCTGGCTCTCCCTAATGATAATGTCTGTTCAAGTTGAGCCCAGTTTCAGCCAGTTTCTCTGGGAGTCAAAAGCCTGTAGCACACCCAGAGAGCCACCACCTGTCCACAGCATATGGTCTGAAGGCATCTCTGCTGCTCTAGCCTGACCAGCCAGCCCAGGATTTCCAACTGTGAGCTCACCCTCCTTGTAAGGCAAACAGGGTTTAGCCAGCGCTCACCTTGACCTGGTGACCTTTGAAGATTGAGGTTGCAGGAGAATGCAATTGAGAATGCAGCGGGTTTCCAGACCCCATGTGAGCCATCCCTGATGCTTCACCCTGGCTCCATGGGAAGGAACCCAGAGCCCTGCCTGGCTGGTCTCCTGCTAATGAGATGGAAAGCAGGGGTCCTGGCCACACCGTGAAATTCATGATGTTCTCCACTCTTGTGTCCCTGCCATGGCTCACATTCAGTAATTAGATACCAGCTCATTAATTCCTGCTATCCTTTCAGAAGGGAAAGGATGGTGCCCTTTGTTCTGCTCTGCTGGGCCCTGAGCCCTCACAGCATGAAGTAGCTAGATTCTGCCTCACTCCAGAGGCGGCTGCCACTTTCTCACCCCAGAGTCAGCCCCTCAACCATGAAAAGATGTAAGGATGTAGCTAAATTATATAACCCAAGCATGAAAGCACCTGACGTGTATGAAACCATGTTCTCAGACACTTGTAGGCAGTGACAACTTTATAATTAGGCATTTCATCCAACTTATGTATCTTACATAGGGAAATTGACATCTTAGCAAAATTTATTTGCCTAAAGTCACATAGGTAATTAAAAGTAGATACAGCTGAGACTAGTTGCTATAATGCCCAGCTAGGAGGGAGTCGGTGGAAGAGGTGTCATCTATTTTCCTTTGAAGGTTTGTAAGTATTTGACTTTTCCTGCCCTGAGACTGACTTGCCTCTGAGGAGGCCCATCCGACTTAGCTTGAACAACCCGGATTCTTGTCTTTAGTCAAAAGCCTCTAAATAAAGAATACAAATCAGCTTAACTTCTCCAAGGTCTGGCAAAGCTTTATACACCTTTCAGAAACAGAATGCAGCAAATCTGCCTCAGCAAACATGTGCATACGACTTTCATCTGAGCTATCATGAGGACATTTTATAGACACATACAATGGAAGCCCAGAGGGCTCTGGCATGTTGCAAAATCAAACAGTCCAGAAAACTCTCCACCCCAGACCACTATTCAGTTCTCATCTGAAATAATGGAAGTCAGAGTCAAACTCATCAATTAAACGAGAATTATTTATTTATCATAATCTCTACTGCCTGCTGCTTCAAATGCTTTCTCATGAATTAATGAGCTCATCTACGTGCATGTCAATATTTTGTTTTAAACTATAAAATAAAACACAGGATTAGGTTTTGTTCTCAGTGTCTACCTTTCTGTGGCATTGATGCAGATAGCAACTAAGGATTAAATCACAGAATGCTTCCCTTTTTAATTTATTTATACAAATGGGCTTTTGCTTTTATTAGTGATGAATGAAGAGAGCTTGACTTGGGGAAATTTAGACTGAGATCATTGAAGTGGCCTAGAGTTTGGAAATTTTTATAAAACCCAACTGTGCAAGTGGATTGAAATTGTGCTAAGAACAGGCTTTCATGCCAGACTTGTGCCCAATTCCATTTGGTTCCTGGCAGAAAACCCTTGAAGAATGGTATTTGGTTTTGTTTATTTGGCATTTCAAATACTGGTTCATCTGGCCCCCATCCTGATCAGAAATAGTCAGAAGTAGAAATGGGAACTTGAGTGGCACCAGAGTGGATTCATCTGGGCGTGGCAGCACCTAGCGTAGGTCTCCAATATGCCATTGAGAATGTTGTTGAGTGCAGGATAACCTTTAACATAATACCCCTATCCCCCTCCTGTTTCCTTGCTGGTTGATCATCTGCCCTGGGCCACAAATAGCTCTCCCTCTCCACTCTCCCAAGGAAGAAAGTCCTGACAAATTACTCCCTTGACCCAACTCTGTTCCTGAAGGCTTGCATATTGCATCACAGAACTTCCTCTTGGGATGGAGAGTAATGTTGGGACAGATGACTGTCCTACTTTCTAGCAATGAAAAATGATTGCATGGAGCCTCACATTCCTGATGCTAATGAGAATCTGTCCTTTCAGCTGGCGTTTGCATCAGGAGATGCCACTGCTTGATTTGTAATGTTTTGCACTAACACTCTGAGTGAACCCTGTCTTTGGGCTGTTCCATTGCACAATAGGCAGTTGAAATCTATGCTTTTCTCAATAGGGAGTACAAAAAATTCATCATTTTTAAGTGGGCTGTCAGATCTAAAAAATAAATCTCAGTTCATAAACTTGAAAAACTCAGAAATGTTAAAAATTTTATTTGTTCACTAAGAACATAACATCCAAGACAAGAGAGATCAATTTTGCATATTATTATGTCTACCTGAAGTATTCCATCTCACTTAAAATAAATATTTGTTTGGAAGCAGTGGTTGGTGCTGGTAGCCAAGGCTGTCCAACAAAAAAAGCGAGTTTTTAAAGAAAATGTTATTCCCTAAGGGTGAATCTTAAAAAATTGCCAAATGTATTCTTGAGATGAATAACAGGAAGCTTAGTTCTAGAAAGGGCCTGAGTGATTATCGAATCCATTCTTCATTTCACAGACGAGGAAATGAGTTTCAGAGATGCAAACATTCCTACTATCGTAGAACTAGTAAGCTGGAGAACAGACATTAAGACCTGTAATAGTGATTCCCGTGTGAATGTTTTTATGATGAAACTGTACAAAATGATAGAACAATAACAATGTCAAAAACACCTATCACTAAGCACTTTCATATGTAATATCTTTTTTTAATTATAACAAAAAGGCAAAGTAGGTGTTATCTCCGTTTCACAAGTGGTACAACTGAGGCTCAGAAACATTAAGCAACTGTCCTGGGGTCACAAAGAAGACACTATTAGAGCCAGGTTTAGTCCATATATTCAATTTCTTTGTTTATTTCCTTCGCTTTGCATGAGAATTCCTTTTTGCTGTCTTTCATTTTTAAGCAGAAACCTTTCTTTAAAGACACTAATGATCAAAGATCTAAATTAAAAACTAAAACTATTAAATTTCTAGAGGAAATCATAGCCCTACATCTAATGCATAATAGGACCAGATGGAAATTCGAGAAAATTCTGAAAAGTACAATATCTGAAAAGGAAGACAATACTTAGCTTGGATTAGGCAATTTGTTTCTTAGATGTGACACCAAATGCACAAACAACAAAGGGAAAACAAGATAAATTGGGCATTTTTGAAATTAAAAACTTTTGTGCATCAAACACCATTAAGGAAATGAAAAGACAATTCATAGAATGGGAGAACACTTTTGCAAATTGAATATCTGACAAGAGACTTGTATCTGGAATCTATTAAGAATGCTATATAATTCAATAACAAACTGACAAGTAACCCAATTGAAAATGGGAAGTACCAAGTATACCTTTTCATTTAAATCATTGAACAGTTCACAATGGCTGTTGTAAAGTTTTTGCCTTGTTACTGAAACCATCATCTCTTGGTCTATTTCTATGGAGTTATTTTTTCCTAGTTATTGGCAGTTTCCTTATCTTTTACGTGCCTAATAACTTTTAATTGAATGTAGCACATTATGGATCTTATATTTTTGAGAATCTGAATATTTAAAATTCCTTTGAGAGTTTGTGTTTTCTTCTGGAGGCAGTTTACTTACTGGCTGTGAGCTCAGTCCTGTTGAGGCTGTTTCACAACAGGCTGTGGCTTTGTCAGGGTGGGTCTGGATCAGACATCTGGTCATCAACCCTGCATATTCCAGCCTCTTCCACGGGCTCACTCGCTGATTTCTGTTTCTCCCACATTAAGGCCACTGCTCTCTGATAGTCTCTGCCTCTCCCAGGCCGGAAAACAGCCCTAAGCAGAGAGCCCTTGCAAGTGAGGAGCCCCCTCATGCTTCCCCCTTCACCTCCAGGGTCATAGTCCTGTAGCGTATGTAATCCCCTTCCCAAAAACACTTGCTTTCTATATTTTCCCTAGTTGTGTAATTGTTTATAGTGAGAGAGGAAGCCTGGTTACTCATGACTCTATTATGAAAAGAACCACAAATCTCTCCTACTTCATTTTAATCATTCGATGTTAGATGTATTTAACCACTTTGTTGCCATGTTTAAATTTTTATGGGGAGAAGCCCAAGGTAAATAATAAAATTAACAAAACTTTTAGTCCAGTGTGTATTCCTCAGAGAAACCTCAAGTTTCTTTTTTTTTTTTTTTTTTTTTTAAACAAATTCAGGTCTTTGTTCTAGAAGTTAAAAAAAAACAACATACAACCAAATATAGTTAAAACAGGAAAATCTATTTGTGTTTACTTCACATCTTTCTGTTGGGTCAGATGATAATGTTTAGAAAAATACTGTAAAATTCTTACTTTATGTGGACAAACCTTTAGAGGCTGGCCTCTCTGTAGAAGGATTGCACAGGGAAATAATTTTGAGCCTACTTTCTTGTCTTTATCTTCTATGTTCTCTTCTCAGCTTCCTGTCTTGATTGGCATGGAACTTGCTCTGCTCCTCATGCTTCTATTTGTTTAGGAAATTCACTAGGAGTGTACAAGGGACAGATTGTCAGCTGTCATCCAAGTCCCTTTCAAATAACCCCACTATCCTTTGCCTTAGGAAGTCTGAGCCTCCATCAGATCCCGGTCACATTGTGAGGGAGGAGTGACCAGCCACCGAGGGCCACCTCCCGCTCTTCTTTCCTCGCTCCCCTTTGCCCTTGAGGTGCCCTCAACTCCCAGGCTCTCTCATCATGCTCTTCCCAGCCCAGGATTGCCCTGGCTAGTGCAGCTTTTCCTTAGGTTCTAGAACCACTACCTAATACCTAATTCCAATAGGGTCCTTTTGACTGAAGCTGACTTAATGTGTTTGAGAAAGCAGGGCTAAAATAAAAAGACCCTAATGTAGCAGAGGCCTTGATAAATTCTACCGAAGTGATGAGAACTGTGGGAATTTCTGACTGAGCCCAAAAGTTATTAGAGGCAAGAATACTTCTCTCTCCAGTAAATGCCTCCCCACCTCCACCCCCATTTATAGAAGCTTTCAAATTTATACTAGCATAAGGCCAACCTTATCTATGACCATGAATAAGCTATTTCACTACCTCATTGTTCTGGTCAAAATAATGCATGGGGCTGGGCTCATGCCTGTAATCCCAGCACTTTGGGAGGCTGAGGCAGGTGGATCACTTGAGGTCAGGAGTTCGAGACCAACCTGCCCAACATGGTGAAACCCCAGCTCTACTAAAAATACAAAAATTAACCATGTGTGGTGGCACACACGTGTAGTCCCAGCTACTTGGGAGGCTGAGGCACGAGAATCGCTTATTGCTTGAACCTGGGAGACGGAGGTTGTAGTGAGCCGAGATTTTGCCACTGTACTCCAGCCTGGGTGACAGAGTGAGACTCTGTGTCAAAAAAAAAAAGAAGAAAGAAAAAAGAAAAAAAAAATCATGGGCTAGCTACTCTGCTTGTATTTTTTGTTTCCATCCATCCTCTTACTTGATACCCCTCCATGTTCTAAAAACAAAGCCTCCCTTCACATTTTGAGTGTGTCTGCTATGGATAATGAGGCAGCAATCCTGGTTCTAAAGAATTGGGATAAAGCAGTCACTAAGGATCCCATTAAAGGTCAAACCATCTAATTCTTAATCTCACGGCACCTGCTTGATAATGATGGATACTTATTAAACTCATTCCTTCTGGGTCTCAGAATACCCTTTAGAATGATCCAATTTTTCATCCAGGCACTTGAAGTTCATTAAATGAATGCTGGAGAAACTGTTTTCCCATTGACATACTTGCTTTAATGAAATGAGAAAGTAAGAAGTGCCTGAATATTGGTTGTTGTTCTCAAACCCAAGGAAATCTAGGGGTTTGTGGAGATCCAGAATCTCCTCTCTCCTCACCACTTTTATGGCCTTTATCTAATTTTACTTTTCAGCCACGTTTGATGTAGCTGACTTCCATCTCGAAACACTCTCTTCTGATTTTCCCTTCGATTGCACTATCCACTCCTTTTTCCATTTCCTCAACCGGTTCTGTCTTCCCGCGTGACCTCTCAGCATTGAAGTCTTATCTGCCTGCCCTCTTCTGGATGCATTGTATTCCTGGATGAGCTTCTCAATGCCCTAGTCTCATATACTGGCCATATGATGAGGATTCCTGGTTTTACATGTCAAGCCTTATCTTCGTAAGTGAACTGCAAACTCAGTTTTCAAAGTGCCCATCTGACCACTCCACTCTGATGTCTAACATGTCCTCGCTAACATGTGGCCAGAAGAGAGCTCCTCATCCCCACGGCCATTGCTCCTCCACCAGTGTTCCATCTCAGTAAATGGCACCACCACCAACCCAGGTGGTCAAGCCACAAGCCCTGGGGTTGTCATTCGTTCACTTTCCCTTTCACCTCATTTAACCATTCAGCAAGCCTCATCGATCCCATCTCCAAAATATACCCCTAATCCATGCAGTACACCCACCTCCCCACTGGGGCTGCACCAATCCAGCCCCAGCCACTGTTGTCTCTCACTGGAATCTCTGAAGTCACTCCCAAGAGGTCCCTGCTTCCACTCCCCCTCCCACACCCATTCTCCCTAAGACAGCCGCAGGGATCCTGTTAAAACATAAGTCAGATCCATCACCCCCTGGAGTACCTGGCCTCCTTTGCACATCTGAGACCAAAGCTCCTTACTGACCTCCAATGGTGTGCACGCCCTGTTCCTCGGCCCTTATAAGACCCCTTTTTCCTGCACACTCCATGCTCTGGCCATATCAGCCCGCGTTCTATTCCTCAAATATATCACATTCCTTCTGCATCAGTGCCTTTGCTCCTCTGCCCCGAAGGCTCTCTCATAGATCTTCCTGCCATTCAAGTCAGCCCCATGATACCTCCGCAGTGAGGCATTCCTTGACCACTCTACCTAAAATCTCTCTCCCCCCGCCACACAATCTCTTTGTCTTGTTTTATCTTCTTCTCAACACGTATCACTATCAAGACATTGAACAAGGAAATACTGACAGATTATCATTTCAGTTTCCCCCTCAGAGAAGGACATTGTCTATTGTTTTTTGCTATATCTGCAATGTGCTTGGTAGTTAGGAAGTCATTATATAACAATTTTAAAAATGGAAACATTCAGTTTTTAAAGTAGGTTTATTTTTTTTTTTTCAGAGAAGCCAAGTAACTGGTATACATAGTAATAAAACATCTCAATAAAGAATTACAAGACTTGAGGATCTGGGCATGGTGGCTCACACATGTAATCCCAGCACTTTGTGAGGCTGAGGTGGGAGGATTGCTTGAGCCCAGGAATTCAAGACCAGCTTGGGAAACATAGCAAGACCCCAAGTCTACAAAAGTTTTTGGAAAAAAATTAGCTGGGTGTGCAGATATATCTTCAGCATACTGATTTGCTCTATTTTGGATATATACCCAGCTGAGAGATTGATCATTTGGTAGTTTTAGATTTTGGGGGAACTTTCATACTGTTTTCTACACTGGCTGTACTAATTTAATCCCCACCAACAGTGCACAAGTGTTTCCCTTTCTACACATCCTCTCCAATAAAGGCCACTTCATTTTGAGCCATTAGTGAACTGAGAGAAAACAGCAGTATGGAGGGAGAAAGTGGATTGTTTCCAAGAAGTAGGTGGGCAAGGAGCAATGAAGGAAAGATAATACCAAGGCAAATACCTGGAGGATGTGAAGCCAAGAGCATCAGAGGAGAAAAGGAATCATCAAGAGGTTGGTTAGTGGGTACAAACGTGCAGTTAGAAGGAATAAGTAATAGTGTTCCACAGCACAGTAGGGTGACTATAGTTAACAATATATATATTTTTTGAGACAGGGTCTCACTCTGTCACCTAGGTGGGAGTGAAGTGGTGCAATCATGTCTCACTGCAGCCTCAACCTCCTAAACGCAAGTGTTCCTCCTGCCTCAGCCTACCGAGTAACTGGGACCACAGCATGTGCCCACAAAGCCCAGCTAATTTTTTGAGTTTTTGTAGAGATGGGGTTTCACTGTGTTGCCCTGGCTGAGCTTGAACTCCTGGGTTCTAAGTGATTGTCCCTCCTCGACCTCCCAAAGTGCTGGGATTACAGATGTGAGCCACCGTGCCCAGTCAACAATAATTTATTGTATATTTCAAAATATCTAGAGGAGGCTGGGCATGGTGGCTCACACTTATAATCCCAGCACTTTGGGAGGCTGAGGATTGTTTGAGGTCAGGAGTTTGAGACCAGCCTGGACAACATAGTACGGGCCTGTCTCTACAAAAAAAGAAAATTCAAAAACTTAGTTGGGCATGGTGGTATGTGCCTGTAGTCCCAGCTACTCAGGAGGCTGAGGCATGAAGATTGCTTGAGCCCAGAATTTTAAGGTTGCAGTGAGCTATGATGGCACCACTGCACTCCAGCCTGGATGACAGAGTGAGCCCTTGTCCTGAAAAAAAAAAAAAAAGAAAAAAAAAAAAGAAAAAAAAGAAAGAAAGAATTAGAATACTTGAAACCTAGCCAAAACCTTATCCTTACTTAGGGTGATCCTGTGCTTCCATTTGCTAATCCATAGATACTCCTAATATCTTCCTTCTCTTCTTCATAAGTGAGGAGATAAGATGAAATAAGGAATTCGTAAATACAAAGAGAGTCATAAAGCATCACATAAAGGTTATGTTTATTTTATATTGAAATGTCCACCTGAAAAACTTTCTCTGGCAGAGTGCAGGGCCAGATGAAATTCACATGAATGAGGAACACCTGATCTGTATGGCCCTGTCATTATTATGCATATCCATGGAACCAGCTGGGCACTCAGGGTTATATGTGGTAGCCACAGCAGGGTGATTTGCAACCCCCACTCCTATATCCATCAAGACAAGGCCACCACGAGGCCCCCTATCCTGCTGTAGATGACCTGAAATACGCTGTCCCCTTAGAGGTTGCTTTCTTTGGCACTGATCATGAACATCTGTTTGGTTTATTGCAGAACCCACAGAGGCCAACACAGTGCCTGGCACATTCTAATTGCTCAATGATCTTGAGATCAATAAGGGGGTGAAAAATGGCTGCTGGTGTAAAAAGCAGGAGAAAGGCACTGAAAGGGGATGAGAGTGGACACCGGAGACCATTTTTTGCCCATTTGGTAGTATTTCATCCACTCTACAACTAGTCTCCAAGTCATGCCTTTATTTTTCCCCTGTATGAGTTGAAGACAACTCTTTGTGGAGTCTAGGAACAGGCAAGTGTCCCTGTATATGGAAAGGAAGGAACAGTTCACAAGCTTTCTAAGCTCACAACCCAGCTTGTCTGGGCTTTTCAATAGAGTGGTTGCCATGACATTACATAGGAGAGCCTTCCAGGCAGTTCCCATTGCTAAGGGCAAAGGGTGACTGTGATATTAAAAGAAGCATTTGTTGCTCTTTATACTCAGAGGAAATCAAGGTGAACTTAAACTCATTAAAAGCAAGGCTGAGCACATTTGCATGAGCAGAATGTAAATACAGGAGGCTTCTTGCAGATGAGCTTCTCTCTTGCAGAAGAAGAGACCCAGGGCCTCCTGAGCCTGTTTGTTCTTAATTAAGAGAGATCCTTTTGGGATGAGAGTGAGTTTGTAATGGCATTTCTACCACAATGTACAACTTCTCAAATATCTCCTTCCCCCATATCTTCAAAGTTTTAAGTACAGCCCTTAGTGCAAGTTTGTAGGGGAAATATGGAAAAATGCAAAACAAATACAATAAACAGAGAAAACAGTTTAAAATGATTCTACACACAAATGAATAATTTAAACCTCCATCATGTTTGCTATCTGTGATGCATCTATTTAATATTAATAACTTGTGAAGAAAAATGACTGTCACCATTTTTAACAAGCCTAGTCTATTCTGGCTACAAACCTTAGATGACTGGCTATTCCTAACAGGGCCCTGCTTATTAAGAGTCTGTTATCTTCTTTAAATTTAATTTTGTGAATAATGAAATGTTTATAAGAGGAAAACAAATATCCTGTCTAAAGCCAGCCTCTCCTTACTCCCTTCCACCTCTGTCAAATATTTATCTGCCTCTACCTTCTTCCTTTTTCTTTTCTTTTCTCTTTTCTCTCTTCTCTTTCTATTTCTTCTCTTTCTCCCTCTTTCTTTCTCCCTTCCTTCCCTTTTTTCTTTATCTCTCTATTTCTTCCTCTCTCTCTTCCTTCCCTCCTTCCCTCCCTTCCTCCCTCCCTATCTCTCTATCCCTCTCCCTTTCTTTCTTTTCTTAGTTTTCAACACCAGGCTCCATATTTAATACACACAGTGTAACTAGCTTCAATAGCTGATCATTCTTTCTCCAGAGTTGTCTTATTACGAAGCAAGGAGCACATACAAAGCAGTTGTATTGCTTTTCAAATTCCCTCTTCAGTGAATAGTCATTAAAGAATTGTATCAAGAAGAAACACTTTTATAATGTGGCTGTCTCCAAATTCTAAAGATGGTGTTATTATTGATTTAGTAATAGCTTACAAATCATGACCCAAAATTAGTTCTTCTGCACTTATGCCCCAACTTTTGTAAAGTCTTTATTGAACAACCATGGCCAGTAACCATAACAGATAATGTTCTATTAAGTGCAGTTTTTCCATGGGTCATATAAAGTCTTTTTCTTGGAGCTCATATAAGAGTCCATGGAACCTTCATTCACTTTGGTGTCTGCAGGAAACTCTTTTCCTGTGGAGTCTGAGTGATCATGTGGAATCTCACCCCATGCTGCCCACAGAACTGTCCATCTAGGTGTCTCTTGCTGACCAGACTCTGGGTGTACAGCAGAGCTGACAGCCCAGGTTTCAAATAAAACTTTCCAAATTTCACACACACACACACACACACACACACACACACACACACATACACACACAAACACTCATACAGCAGCTTTGCTGTCTAAGATGTCAAGATGTAGTTTTGGGTTTTATTTGTTTACATTCTGAATTCTGTGTCCATGTGTTTTAAATTTTCCTCTAGATAAAAGCGTGATAGAGCATCTCTGTGGGGAATTGCTGTGAAGAAGTCCCACTGTGGGATGTGGTGCAGGGTGAAGATGCAGATGAGAGAAGGAAGGAGAAAGCTCAGGGAGAGGGAAGTAGAAAGAAGGGGAAGAATAAACGGTTGGAGAAGCTGCCTGATGACTTTGAGCTTTTGTAGATCAGCGGATCCAAACCTCTTGTTGTGCAGGAAGTGTTAGAGAACATTAAAAGATTAGCCTAGAGTCTCAGGTAGTTCAAGAGTCAGAGTTGGGACCAGGTCTTCTGGTTCTGATCCAGAGCTTTTTCTCCTACTTAGCTGTCATTCCTATGCCATTCATGTCATGTTTTAAGCAGTTCAGCAAGCATTCTTGCCGTGCTGACTTGTCTCTAGCATGATGTTCAAGCTCTGAAAATTGCAAGTGAGTTTAAATAGCCTCTGACCTCAGTGAGCTCAAATTCTCACTGTGGAGATGACCTCCAGCCCCAAAACAGATCAGAGACCTGCTACGTAACACATGGGCAAGTGCAAGAGTGAAAGGAGGAGGATTTGGGGATCTAGAAAGGTCTGGGGCAAAGTGGCAGGAGAAACATGAGGCATTAAGGGGTGCACTTGGTGGAAGGGGGAAGGCAGAGCTGGGAAAAGGGCAAGACTCCTTGGTGACCAAATGGGTAGACATGTGAAAAATCACTGCCCCCACTGTGGAGGATACAATGTGGAAAGAGCTGTGAGCCTCTCCCCAGGAAGCTGTGGTCCACATGGATGATGATGGGGAGATGTGGGAAACGCCAGGCAGAGAGGAAGAGAGCTGCCAGGGAATAGCATCATTCCACCAACGGAGGACCACAGGGCTTGGTGTAACACCCACATGCAGAGGGTAAGATGAGGACCCATCCCGTCATCAGCGGTGCCAATGCTCACATTGCAGCACCTTACCACTCAGAGTAAGGCTTCAGCACTCTGTGAACGTTTGCTGCTGTTATTCATTGATCACCCATGCACCTCACAACAGCCGTGCGAGACTGACTGGGCTGTCACCACTTTCTCCATTTAGTGGACGAGGACAGGAAGTCATAAAATGGGCCTAAGATCTTAGAGTTTGCCAAGTCCTGCAGCCATATGTAAGTTTCCCTGATGCCGGTACTCGGGGGTGCTGTGCTACTTCAATGTCTGCTCCTCCCAGAGTGCTGTAGCCCAGGAGAAGAGGCCTTTGTGCCATGCTTTTTACAGCAGCACCTCCAGAAGTCACGTAAGTGACCTGGCACTCCCAGAATCCTTTCCAGCCTACAATCATTTTCACATAAAAATGGGAAAAATGGAGGCAGAGGAAACCATATATCCCAAACCAGGGCCAGTTATCCCCTGTGTATGTGGGGATGAAGGCTCACGATGCAGTAAAGGACCACCATTTCCCTCCTTCCAGTGTATTAAGAAGACATCTGGGTGTTCCAGTTCCATCAGCTCACTCATCCTTCAGTAGAGACAAGTGAGCTTGGCACGTGGATATGTGAAGTGCTGTGTGCATTCAGCCTCAGTCTCCTCTGCTGTCCCAGCTCCTGGACTCTAAGCCTCCCTGTTTGATTTATCAAACAGATTGGATGACACCCACCTATGTTGGTGAGAATGGATCTTCTTCATCTACCAATTCAAATGCTCATCTTTTCTAGAAACACCCTCATGGACACAATCCAGAAATAATGTCCTACCAGCTATCTGGGCATCCCATTGGCTGGTCAAGTTGATATCCAGAATTCGCTATCTCAGCTGTTAAGGCCAACTCAGATCTAAGGGGAGGAGAATTCAACTCCCCCTCTCAATGGGAGGAATCCTAGAACTGCTAGAGTTTCCTGCCAACCAACATTCTTACCAAGTAAAATAAAACAAGAATAAACTTTACATTCGGCTACAGAAGGTGATGGAAGAGGTAGAGCAAGAGGATCTACAAAGATGCTAATTTCATTTATAATTATTTTGTGATGGAAAAAGTAATAAATTATTATGAGTTGTCACCAGACTCTTTCTTAACCAGAGAATTCTCTTTCTTTGGAAAAATATTTTGAAAAGCTGCTTGACCATGGCAAGTGAGACATTGAGGACCCAAGCAACAGATAGACGGTTTATGGCATGCTGAGTGGAGAGTAGGGGACACTTGCATTTGCCTTTGGGAGGGAAGGAGAGAGGAAGAAATAGAAAAAAAAGGGGAAGAAACTGGAGAATGCGAAAGATGTGAAGCATCATGGGAAAGTAGAGGCCAGGAAAAACATCCTAGTGATAAAGGTAGAAGAAAAGAGTTCTAGGCAATGCCTAATATGTGATTGAAAGATGCATGTCCCCCTTCCTGCCATGGATGCTCCCCCCTGAAATTTTAAGGCAAATTTTATAGACTAACAGTTGCCCTGTGCAAGTGTTGTCTTGTGTGTATGTGTGGAGCGTGAAGTTGGGGTTGCAGCTGAATTGCACGTCCAGTTCATCATGACTTTGTATCTCATTGCATAGTCTGGAAAAAGGACAGGCATAGACAAAGGAACTCACCAGCAGAGGTGGCCAGAAGAAGAAATCTTTCCTGGCAATTGAAAGAAATCTTAGTGCAGATTGTGGTCTTTGCACTAGGATGAGACAGAGGTTGGAGCTTGTCTTCCTCAGACATCAAAGAGCAGGGAGAACCGAACTGCCAACTGGTTTGCATGTGGCTTGTGGTTTGACAGCTGACTCTTTCTTAACTTCTAACCCAAGGATCAGTACAAAGCCAATTCCCCTTCTCCTCCAGGAGGAAGAACCTTCTACAGCCTGAGGTACCCAGTACTTGTCCTGAGTGTAAGCTAGGATGACCTCTGGATCCATCATGCTATATTTAGTCTCTGTTTCACCTAACACTCAGGATTCCATGAATGTACCTTTAGTGAGTCCAGGACACCTTGTGAAGATTGCACGAACCCTGCCTGGGAAGTGACAAAGGTGCAGACTTACCCTTGTCATATTTTGTACCTTTAACCACAGAGGTCACATGGAGTTGTGACCCCAGCTCATGTAACCTAATAGAAGGTGAATAATACCTCCTACAGTAGGCTCTGGAAATGTTTCTTGTGTGCACACACACACACAGACACACTTCTTAAGTCTGCATTCCCCAAATAATAATAAGGGGCATGTTGCTCTATAACAATCAGCATCACGAAAGCCTACAGGACTTTGCCATTCGGTTTAATGGAATTGGTATATTTGAAATACTGCCTTTGGAATTTTTTTTTGACAGAGTTTCACTCTTGTTGCCCAGGCTGGAGTGCAATGGTACGATCTCAGCTCATTGCAACCTCCGCCTCCTGGGTTCAAGTGATTCTCCTGCCTCAGCCTCCCAAGTAGCTGGAATTACAGGTGCCTACCACCATGCTCGGCTAATTTTTTGTATTTTAATACAGACAGGGTTTCACCATGTTGGCCAGGCTGGTCTCGAACTCCTGATCTCAGGTGATTCGCTCGCCTTGGCCTCCCGAAGTGCTGGGATTACAGGTGTGAACCACTGCCTCTGGTCTGCCTTTAGATATTTTACATAACAGATTGTATTACAAAGACCTACACGCCTCCAAAAATACTTTGGAATGTTTTAATTATGCAAAAATTGAGAAAATAGTTAGGAAAGATGTATCTGTCTCTGTTAAAAATAAATTCAATTATTAGAATTTAGGGGTGCCCAACAGCTTACCTGCAGCAAGATTAGGTTGAGTTCTACTACCTTCAAATACTTACCTATGACCTTTGAAGTTGTGATTATTCTGGGAGCTTCTGGTGCTACATCCACTCAATCTGCCAGGAGAGGAATTTATCCTACAGGCTGCATAATTTCCTTCTCAGCTGTAAAATATCTCTTTATAAGAGGTGTGGGCGAGAAGGAATTATGGGAGCAAATACAGTATTTATCACTTGAATTAAACGACTAAAGCTGGCAAATAGTTCAGCTATCAATCCACAAATAGTATCAATCCACAAATTAGCAGCCTGATTCAGATAATCTGATCAGTAGATATATTTATATGTGAGCATCATAAGCATCAAAGCCACTTTTATGTGTATTATTTTTCTTGTCACCCACAAATCATGTTGCAAAGATTGATAGTAATTGAATAAATTGCTGTGTGTATTTAAAGACTAGGCTTGTTGGAGACACAACAGATTTATTAGATGATCAGTTTTTTTTTTTCCTGTTATGTCAATACTCATTGGAACACTTCTTTTCAAATGTAGGAAAACCAAGCTAACTAGATCTAGAAAAACAAGCAGAGGTTTCAAGGGATGCCTTTGAAAGGTGGTGTGGTATCAGGGAGCACGTTGAATTGGAAGTCAGATGTCCATGTGTGGATTCCTTTCATGGCACTCCCTGATTGAGACAATCTGTAAAATCCCTTTAACGTGCATATGTTATGATTGCATAATGTAATTCTTGTTTAGGGTTTATTGTGTGACTCTTTGCTAAGTAACTGTACTGTCATAAATGGAGTCCGAGCAGAGGGGCTCGTCTCCCCATGAGTGTGAGATCTGCATGCTGCCACCTTTCTCCTCCTACTTTTCTCGCCAGGTACCAAAGTCTGTGTAAGATGCACCAGGCTGATATTTTGTAAAATCAAGGTCTTCACCTTTCATTTATGTGGCATGAGCTGGAATTTGCCAGGGTCAAATAGTCAACCAGGAGCTCTTTATGGATTCAGCCACATGGGAGAACTTGAGGGACCTTGCATGTCTTATATTCTCCAAAACTCCATCCCCACAGGCTTGCCAGTGTCCAAAAGGCCTGATTTTTAGGGGAGGAGGCAGCTCTAAAATAGTGTCGATTCTAGAACTCCTTTTTTAAATGTCCCAGGAGGAGTAACTATTGGCATCATCAGTATTTAACACTTTGGGCTAATTACATCACCTGATTATTTCCCTCCTTTGTGCTTTCTAGAGGGATATAAACCAATGAGAGTCTTGAGAGGTGGAGTCAGTTCAGCTCAGAAGACACTATCTTGAGGGAAAAGGCCATGATGAGTGGGTTTGTATGTTGAATTGGAAAGAGGAGAAGGGAGATGAAGAGAAATAGGGTAGGGGGAGTACTGAGAGGAAGGATCTGAAGGGTGATAGAGAGAATGCTGCCTTTGGTTAAAATTTCACCAGTGTAGACTGTGTTTATGTAGCTTAGTCAGAATCTCCCTTCATCCTGTAGTGCTATGTTTTTGTTTATTTATGCAATACTCTTCCTGTCAACTATCACAATTAAGAATCCCTAGTGTAGCACAGTTATGAATGTGGCTGACCTTTCTTAAAATAATGTCCTCGAGCTCTGTAGCACTTTAAACATTTCAACTCTTTTGCATATTTGGTTTTTCATAATGTAGGTTGTAACACGATAGAAGGTTAGGGAATTAATTGAGTGGGCCATGATCAGCTTAAGAAAATAAAATGCAATAGAAATATACCTAGTGCATAATAACTAGTAGAATGAACTAATATGAAACTTTGTCCATTACCTATGTATGTAGTATGTGTTTACTGTATTGCTATATAAAATATATTTCTCATAGTAGATTGCAGTCACAAAAGTTTGAAAGCCTTTGAACCCCCTTTGACCATGGAAAGGAAGAGGGATTCTGTACAGGAAATGGTTAACTCAGCAGGCCTGGGTTGCTCAAACCGTGCACATTCTCAGAAAGACCTGCTTTGGGACTGGCCCTTGGATGGTCCTGGGAAATTAGCCACCAACCTTTGGAATAGTGTGCCCAATAAGAATTTTTTTGGATGCCTTAGGCTTCAGCCCACATGAAACCAGTTTGATGACTTTATCCTAACAATGTAATTTATGTATGGTGAATGCCTGCTTTTGCTTTGGGGTGGTGTGAGGATCTGAGGTCAGGTACGCAGGTGCCACATGCCTGCATGACTAACCCCCAGTAAGAACCCTGGACGCCAGGGTATGGGTGAGCGTCCGTGGTTGGTAACATGGTTTCTGGGAAAGTTAATAGAGCCCGTGAGACTCCACTAGCAAAGAACACCTGGAAGCTTTCACCTGGTTTCTCCTGGACTCTGCCCCATGTACCTTTTATTTTATTCTGATTTGAACTCATATCCTTTTGCTGTAATATATCAGAACAGTACATCTAATTCAGAAAAGTAAGCTTTTCTGAGTCCTGTGAATCCTAGTGAATCATCAAGCTTTAGAGTAGTCTCAGGGAACCTGGCACAGATGCAGAGATTAGACTTGAGACCTAGAGAAGTTAGGGGCTTTCTAGAACATGTAGCTCAAGCCTGGGCCTGGAGTGTGACGAGGTCATGGACAGTAAGCTGGAGTGAAGGTCTGTACCAACTCAGTCCTTTTCTGGTGAGGCAGCATGGAAAGACATTGGCCTTTTCTCCATTTGTGATGACAGTGATCCCTGGACGTGACTTCTTCAAGTGTCCTTGGTGAGTTTAACTGGGTAAGAGCAAAAGAAATGAAATATTTTATTCCTTTCTCAGTCCCCCATCAAGGACATCAATAGCATAAAACTGCTATAAAATAACAAAGCTTATTATAAACTTTGTCTCCAAAAGTGGTTCTAGCCTTTTTGTAATCTTTCATATGAGCTTGTTGTTCTGTTGATTAATGAATTCGGTAATATTCTATTTTTAAAATTATTTTAATTATGATATAAACAAATGAGATACCTCTTCAGAGTCCACATGAATGGAAATGAATATAAAATCAGAATCCAACACATAAAAAGAAAGTTCAGCAAATGCAGGACTCCAGTCTCCACTGCTTCACAGTAGGGTTTGTCCTTGTGTTTTCTTGTTTTGTTTGGGAAAATAATGCAAAAGAGATTTGTTGTAAAAGCTTTGAAATTTAATTATGATCAGGGAGTTCTAAAGGAAATTAAACATAGCATGAGTACTTTTAAAAAATATGAATTTAATATAGCATCTTATCAAATAATTCATCCCACACGGCTAGCTCACTTCCCACCAGGAAATAGAAAAGAATTTTTGAGGACTCTTAACTAATAATAATTTCTGAATTTCTCTGACACCTTCACTGTTTCTAAACATTTTTTTTGTCATGTTAACTGACTTGATTCTTCAGAATTTGCTTATTATAGCCATCACTTTCTAATAGTACATAGTTTGAAAAGCACTTGTCCGTCTTCTGCATTCTGGGAACATGCGGCTTCCTGACCCACAGAAGATGGCTTCTCGCTGTGTCCTCATGTGGTGGAAGGGGTGAGGGGTCTCTCTGAAGTGTCTCTGCTAAGGACGCTAGTCCCATTCTTGTGGGCTTTATTCTCACCACCTAATCACTCCCAAAGTCCCCACCTCCTAACACCATCGCTTCAGGGGAAAAATTTCAAAGTATGAATTTGGGGAGGGGGCGGCATTAAATAGTCGATGCCACTCCCCATGCTTTCTTTTCCTCCGCTGTGGTTTTCAGATGAACAGAGACTTCTGGAGTTGATTTGCTGTCTTATTTGTTCTCCCTGCTTGTTCTCGCTCATCTGGGCAGGTGGTTTGTCCCTTCTTCCCCTTATCCAAATGATAAATTCCTCTCCCTCCTCTCCTTTCCTCTTCCAGTATCTTCCTTCACCTCCTCCTCTTAGGAGCTCAGGAAATCTGTCTGCACCTATCATACTGACAGCATGAGCCCAAATGTTTTTCCATAGTTCATCCTGGATCCCGGAAACATGGGTGGCTGCCTGCCTGCCTGCCTGCCTCAGTTTATTTCCCAGTCTTACTGGTTTGTAAGCTTTAATTTTAGAGAAGAGGACAGAGCCATGCAGTCCACAGACCACTGCATGGTGCTTTGTCATCACCGGCCGGTGCTCCCATGGGCTGCCCAGGTGCCCAGGCGTCCTGGGTCCCCACCCTCGCATGGCTGTGGAGCCGGGACAGCTATGACATTTGTGTGGGGTTCTTAAAAATGTGAGAAGCTCCTAATATGTTGTTGTTAAACTCATCCTCTCTGATAGAATTGAATTTTAAACACAATTCCCCCGAATACACCCTAATGTGCTTGTTTCATTTCTGGAGACTGTATGCATCACTTTCCTTGTCTGGCCAAGGCCACAACAGCGTTTGCGTTAGCCACTGTGTCCCTGAGTAGATGGGGCCCTGTTTACTCTTGGCCTGCTCCGTGGGATCCCAGCCCGGCCCTACTGGACCTCCCAGCTCTTTTACAAGTAACGCCTTCTTTCCCAGGTAGCCCCATTTTCTCCTCCTTCATGACACGCCTGTGGGTCCCTGCTTTCCTGGGACTGTCATCGATGTGCACGCTGGTGCCTATGCACATGCTCCCCCTGCATCCTCCTCGGTGGGGCTGACACGCAGGGACTTGCCCACATCTTCTCATCTTGATAGAAAGGATCCCTGTGGCAAGCCCTCTTCCCTTCTTCACAAAGCTGCGTTCCTCCTTTCCCCTCTCCTTTGGATATCTGCCCTGAAGAAGCTGATAGAAGCAGATACTGCTTCTGGTAGGCCCCTCTCCGCCTGCTCCGATCTTTCACTTCTGCCCACTCCACACTATGGCCTTCTCTGTCTCTTCCCTTGTTAACTCCCTCGTCTGCATCCAATTCCTGATGCCTCTGACCCCTGACACTGTGTGCTGCCCGCAGCCAGAGGAAACCACGTTCTGGAGTTTGGCAGACCTGAAACGCCCACAACTCTGGCCTTACTTATGGGAGGCCCTTTTCTTCCTCTTCCAAGCTCTGAGCAGCTCCGACCACACCATCCTCACACTGCCACCTCCCCTCTGTCCTCGAGGCCCACAGTCCTGCAGGTGCCTCTGAGAGTCCGGCACGGTGGGGAGTCCACAGGGCTACTGTCACACCCATACTAACCTAGGGAGCCTGTCTCTGAAACACTGCCACATACTTGTTTTCTCCCATGTTCCATGTTTCCGATTTAAATGAGAGACATGACCATTTCTATCTGGCTCTATGTCCATGTCTTCCTTGAGACAGTGCAGTGGTGGATTAGAAATTGTCTTATGTCAGCTGGGCACAGTGGCTCACACCTGTAATCCCAGCACTTTGGGAGGCTGAGGCGGGTGGATCACGAGGTCAGGAGATCGAGACCATCCTGGCTAACATGGTGAAACCCCGTCTCTACTAAAAATACAAAAAAATTAGCTGGGCGCGGTGGCGGGCGCCTGTAGTCCCAGCTACTTGGGAGGCTGAGGCAGGAGAATGGCATGAACCCGGGAGGCGGAGCTTGCAGTGAGCTGAGATCGCACCACTGTACTCCAGCCTGGGTGACAGAGCGAGACTCCGTCTCAAACAAAAAAAGAAAGAAATTGCCTTATGTCAAAAATTAGCAATTTTGTGCTGGGCATGGTGGCTCACGCCTGTAATCCCAGCACTTTGGGAGGCTGAGGTAGGTGGATCATGAGGTCAGGAGATCGAGACCATCCTGGCTAACATGGTGAAACCCTGTCTCTACTAAAAATGCAAAAAATTAGTTGGGCATGGTGGCGGGCGCCTGTAGTCCCAGCTACTCGGGAGGCTGAGGCAGGAGAATGGCATGAACCCGGGAGGCAGAGCTTGCAGTGAGCTGAGATCACGCCACTGCACTCCAACCTGGGTGACAGAGCGAAACTCCATCTCAAAAAAAAAAAAAGAAAAGAAAAAAGAAAAAAATTGCCTTATGTCAAAAATTAGCAATTTTAGGCCAGGCACCGTGGCTCACGCCTGTAATCCCAGCACTTTGGGAGGCTGAGGGGGGCAGATCACTTGAGGCCAGGTATTTGAGACCAGCCTGGGCAACATGGCAAAACCCCATCTCTACTAAAAATAAAAGAATTAGCCAGGCGTGGCGGCGCACACCTGTAGTTCCAACTACCCAGGAGATTGCAGTGGGAGGATCACTCCAGCTCAAGAGGTTAAGGCTGAAGTGAGCCATGTTAGTACCACCGCACTCCAGCCTGAGTGACAGAGCAAGACCCTGTCTAAAAGAAATTAAATAAGTAGCAATTTTGGCCCCTGGCTATTTCTCTGCCCCTGACCGATGTTTTTCTGAAATGTTATACACATCTTCCAAACTGATTTCACCTAAATATCAGAAATCACTCATCATGGTTCCTTTGTCCAGTGCCGTGGAAGGCCCCAGAGGAGGCTTCTGTCGGGTGGTGAGGGCACCAGGTGTGAGTTGGGACCTGAGACCTGGTCCTTGTTCTTACAGCCGTGATGCTGATGATTAGGAGGCCCTCCCAGAGCCTCCAGACAGGCTTACACCATCTGGAGCATGGGCCTGGGTGAGGCCTCGCGAGCTCCTGCATCATAACAGTGCTTCCTGCTGCTCCAAAGCTGTGGAATGTGTGGTCTGGGAACAGCCCTGGCTGAGGTGAGCGCATCTTTGCTTGCCTTCCACGTGACAGACCTGGACCTCAGTTCTTGGGAAGGCGTCCATGTTCCTTTCCCAGCTTCCCCATTGGATCTGACGCTCTCCTCTTGTGATACCTTTACCTGAATTGCTGGGAGATTCAGCATGTGGACTTCCCCACTCCCAGCCATAGGAAAACCTTCCCCGCAGAAGTCCCTGGTGACTACTCACACAGCCTGATCTGCTGCCAACATCTACCCCTTCTGGAAGCAGCTGTCACTGTTTCCAGCGTGCCAGCCTGACATATTTCAGAGTGTCTGCATGTCTCTGAGCTATTAATACACAAAATAACATAAGCCCCCTCTTCTGGACTCCCCAGTGTGTCTGAGAATGCCTAGTAAGCATCCATCTGGTTACTTTTAGCTCTAAATGTTGGTTACTAGCTCAGCCCACCAAGAGCTCACATGCCCAAGCTCTCCCTGGCTGTCTTATCCTCCCTGGCTATTACCTCTCCCTGGCTTTTATCTCTTACTGACCATTATCCCCCAGGGTGAATACAATCCCTTCTTCTTCACACTGAAAGCCACCACTAACACAATGATGATGTGTGTTTAATGAGTTTCACCCGCTGAAGTTTTAGATAAACTATTTTTTTAATTCTAATCTTGCAAACAAGGCTTCTGTGTTCCTCTGGTTTCTGGGTCTTCCTCATGCCAAGAGGCCCTCCCTAACACCTTAGCCCCAGACCTCTTCTCTCATCTCAGACTCTAAAGCAAGGTTTCTTAACGTGGGGTCCCAGGGGCCTGTGAACTTAAAGAAACAAAAAGGTCATAATTATTTTTATTAAAGTCTCACTAAAAAACAGCTGCCCTTCAGCATGTCTGTAGGCAAAATACACAGTAGTTTTGGCATTACCTGTGACTAAAAAAAATCACAGATATTCCCATATCACAGTGGCAATTGCAGATATCTTGAAATACAACATACTGTCACCATTATTTCAAAGTCATAGTAGGTTTTAGGCATACCCCTATTTGATAAGCTTTGGGACTCTAGGCAGACACTCAAGCAACAGAGCTGGTCAGTCTCTGGGGATTCCCTTCTCAAGAGTCATTCAGGGGCACGACCTAAAGGAACGAGCTTTAGAGTGCAGTTTAACTCAACAGCCTTTGGAGAATCTAGCATTTCTGGAGTCCAGGCTGTCTTTTCCTTACAAAGTAAATTATCAAATTTGCATTGTTTATCATTGGGTATCCTTGCTAAACAGGAGTCTCATTCTTTTTTCCTTTTTTTGGTTTTTTTTTTTTTTTTTTTTGGGACGGAGTCTCGCTCTGTCACCCAGGCTGGAGTGCAGTGGCACAATCTCGGCTCACTGCAAGTTCTGCCTCCTGGGTTCATGCCATTCTCCTGCCTCAGCCTCCCGAGTAGCTGGGACTACAGGTGCCCGCCACCACACCCGCCTATTTTTTTTTTTTGTATTTTTAGTAGAGACGGGGTTTCACCGTGTTAGCCAGGATGGATGGTCTCGATCTCCTGACCTTGTGATCCTCCCGCGTCAGCCTCCCAAAGTGCTGGGATTACAGGCATGAGAAGGAGTCCCATTCTTATAAGCATCAGAATTAAAAACTCAAAATTGGATATCTGATTTGACAGGCAAGTCAAGGGAGTGAGCTAGGCAGATAACTGGGACAAGGACGTTGCAGGTGGAGGTCAGCTGGCATAAACAGCCTGAAGCACCGAGTGTTGCTGAGAAAGAGCAAGGAAGCCTGTGTGGCTGGGGCCTGAATGAAGGAATGGGATGGAAATTAGCTTAGAGAGGTAGCAAAGCGTATTTATCCTTGTATACCGTTGGGAGCACTGATTTTATTTTATTTAAAGCATGCCTTCTTGTCCAAGACAATCCCACAGTAAAATGTTACTAGTTTATCTAAGCCCAGACAGCCATTTCCCTGATGTATCTTTAAAAATAAAAAATCTAACTCCTGTGTTTTAAATACATTGTGAATCATTAATAAAGCAATATAAATACATTTTATTTTTGTATATTTATAACTGTGTTTCAAAATAATGCATTTTCTTTGCAATCTGACATATTTTATCTTATATATTTAAACAGAAGATTCTGACAAATGAAATGCTGGCATCACCAGATTGTTCTAGGAGTTCATTTTTTTTCTGTCTCATTTTTGTCTAAAGAGACAAAAAAGATCTAGAACCTTTTCTAAATTTTAGGGCCTGAATCCCCTCTCTCTTTAAAATGTGTCCGCACCCTCCCCCCGACCCCATCCCCCATCCCCCCCCACCACCCCCTTGTTGTGTGGGGCAATTCAGCCTTTTCAGGTGGCTTTATACACCTGTGGCTGCCTTTAAAGGTGGCTTTATACACCTGTGGCTGCCTTTGAAGGTGGCTTTATACACCTGTAGCTCTGGGGCCTTCCAAGCTAAGCAACAGTACTGCTAAACAGTTAAGTCTACATAGTTCTGGGTGGTAAGTGATTTCCCTGTATTATTTCACAAAATCATAAAAGCATTTATTTTTATGTACCCCACAAGTGATAGAATCTGAGTCCAGAGGTTCGGACACCAGGGCTCCAGGGCCTGAGATTTTACTGTGTTGTGTGCTGTGGATGGGTTACTATATCCTTCTATATAAATATAAACATACTTGGCTTATGTCTGCTTTGTCCCCAGAATGCACACATATCTGTGGTTAAGACAGTGTTCCTTCTTTCTTTCTCTCTCTTTTCCTTTCTTTGCCCCTCTGCACTGGCATTGAACTCTGGGGAGAAGACACTTGCGTTCTGAGGCTGTTTCTCTGTCTCTAAATGAAGACAGTCAAACTGAATCATTTCCAAGTCCCCATCCAGCATTTAAATTCAATGTAAGAAGGAACTCCTGGCTACGCTGCCTTCCTAACCTGGTCAAGGAATGTTCATTCTTTGTATTGACTGCAGTGTCACTGAATTTGCTGCAAGGCTCTACATCCTCCTCATGAAGAGGTGACCTTGTGTCTAGAGTCCCTTCGTCTCTGTCTTTGATGCAGTTATATTTCTCATTGTGAGTGATTCCATAAGCTAGACCAGCAGTTGCCCACATTCCATGGTTGATTAGTTTTCTAGAAAAGAAGAGGACCCTTCACAATCACAGTTCTTATTTGGAAACCCAACAGGACCTTAACATGTATTCAAAGTGCTGATACCAAATGCCTCTTCTTACTTGGTGCCCACTCCTCTGCACACAAGAACAAGTGTTTTTTCTTACAAATAACCACTTTTCAGTTCATTCTAGTATCACATGGTTTCTAGACTTCTTTGCAATTTGAGTGGAACTAAACTACAGTTCATTGATAGGCATCACACAGCGCGTGTTTATAGAGATTAACAGAATATCTCTGCCCTGGTGACATTGGTGGAAGGCTCATTGAGATGATTTTACTGTGAACGATGTGAATGCCACTATTCTAGTAATAGTGTTCACAGCTGTATCAGTTTATGGCTTATTAAGTGTAGGGCCAACTAAATAACACATATTTTTCTACACAACTGTTGTCAAGCTGAATTTGTTCCTTCTAGGAAATAGTACAACCTAATTTTTCACCTAAAGATAGAGGTATACCTGGTCAAATCCTTCATAGCAAGAAAGATACTACTGCTAGTATGAATCTTGACTTAGAAGATGAAAGAAGCTCAAATGTTCAGTTGTTCCAATCCTTTGAATTTATAGCTGAGGGAATGGAAGTCCATTGGGAGGGCATGAGGCCTGTTCCAGTTCACACAGACAGAGGATGTGGAGCCTCTGATGCTCATCGCTGTGGATCCTTCCCATGCCTTTATCCCCCCTCTGCACACCTCACATAGTGTCATGAGTTCCTGTTCTAGAGCTGTGGTCCCCTGAAGCAATGTATGGGTCTCCCTTCTCCTGTCTTTTCCTTCCTTTGTGTGTGTGTATGTGTGTGTATGTTTGAGATCAGTGATTTCTCTTTTGCCTACTTTTGACTTAAGATAACATTTGTTTTGGAGCTCGACAAGCATGACTCAGCAGTGTAACACTCCTTTTAATTTTAATTATTATTTTGTGATTATTCTTTTGTGATTATCAAGTTGTTCTTGATGATATCTGGGCACTGTGCAAGACTTCCTTCACTGCATGGGAGTATGTGAGGTTCATTTCAATTGCACTTGTGTTTCCATCTTCTTCCCTTCTATCACTGACTCACTCAAAGCTTGCTTTTGTTTCATAAAGGATCAACCAACAGAAAATTGAGAAAGTCAGTCCATTAATTTGTTTGGCCAGTTTTAGTCATTGGTTGGATTCAAAATACCCCATCTATTCAACCCAGATGGAAAGAACTGACCTTTTCTGAAGCTAAAACATATGCAAAATGGACAAAGCCCATGGCTTGACCTGACCTATTCCTAGGTCATGGTATCCTGATAGAGCATTCTCCCCATCCGACCCTGAGGCACCTGAACCCAGCAACCTCTTTATGCACTCACATTTTCAGCCTTAAGGGTCTTCCCTAGGCTCTGCTTTCTGAGGGTAAAGCCTTTAACTTTCCTTTGTGGACAAATTGCTCACTAGCTGATCATTGGGGTTCAATGGACAAGGTATCCTTACATGCCATCTCTTCATGAGGGCGTGAAGGCTCCGTTCATAAAGAACTATGATGTGGTCATGTAATGGGTTCACTTTAAGACTTGAAAATAAGTAAAGCGAATAAGTTACACTCTATAATTCATCATCTTTCATATATAGCAGTAATGCAATAATACAATAATTACTTTGGTTTTCGATGGTAAATTATATAAATCATTCTATTCATTAGAGATAATGAAAAAGTAACACAAACATGATGCGATGTCTCCCTTATGCTACTGATTTACTTTATTTCAGTCCCGCCTCACTTCAGAATGCAATTTTTTCCTTGCAGGAATTACTTGTAATGGCAGTGGTAGAACCAGGGGATCAAGATATCCAGCTTCTGATGCAGGAAATCCATCTCTCTTTATTGATAGCCCAGCATCATGCTTTTATCTAGAGAGGCATTTATCCATCTAAACACCCCTAGAAAAGCTATGTGGAAAATGTAAAAGCATCAGGAAGCTCAAAGTTACAGCCAAGGCACAGACTGAATGCTTTAAAATCTTGTCTCATCCACAGAAATCCACAAAGATTATTTCCATAGATCAAGGGCATAGTAATGCTGTTTGCCCTTTTTACATAGTAGTACCATATATTTATTAGCTCTATTGATGAAAATAGGAGAGCAACTCTCCTTGATATTAGAGACCTTGGCAAACGTAAAGTACTTAAAAAATGAATAGACTGCCTTCCGAATGTGAACTCACTGACTAAGCCCAGTGAAAGGAGAGTATGGCATGAAATCAGAGAATGATGAATGGCCAGGATTACGTGTGTGTGTGTGTGTGTGTGTGTGTGTGTGTGTGTATGTGAAAATAAACAATATGATTAGTGTTTATTCTTTTTAACAATCCACAAATTGCCTGCTTTTCTCTACTTTTTTTTTTTTTTGAGATCAAGTCTCACTCTGTTACCCAGGCTGGAGTACAGTGGGTGTGATCTCAGTGTACTGCAACCTCCGCCTCACAGGTTCAAATGATTCTCCTGCCTCAGCCTTGCCAGTAGCTGGGATTACA